>NC_000005.10:25156305-25459335 GCF_000001405.40 Homo sapiens
TTCTGCCTTTGGGCCACTTATAACAGCAGATACTGTGGTTTATTTCTTTAACATTTTGATATTTTCAGAGCTTAGATCTAGCCACCAGTTTCAAAATATGTGACAGAGAAGAATTTACTGTGTAATAGCATAATCAAATGAATTTACTGTGTAATAGCGTAATCAACCTCCGAGAGCCCTCACACTTGATACTCAATATTACATCACATTGGCCCTTTTCAATTTCAGCCACAATGGAAGTGGATAGCTACTGGGGAACTCAAACTCCTGTTATTATCTAAAGACCAAAACAAATGTTTCCCTGCTTTTTGTACTCAGGACCTTTCCCAAAGCTGAGAATAGTCTGCATAAATACAGTCTATAAATATAGTAAAGTTAATGACCCCAAAGGTAACCCTCAAATAATGAAAGATGGAAGTCAGTGGATAAAAACTCCAGCCTCCGCCTTTGGATTCCTAGCAGAATTATGCTCTCATTGCCTACAACCAGTGACCTGGATTACATAGCCTTATATCAGTTTTTCATTCTTACTTATCTAATGCTCTTCTCTGTCACTCCTCCTTCAGAGTATTTACTAAATTATCTGCAACTAAGTTCTTGTCTCAGGTTCTGCTTTTAAAGAAATATAAACTAAGATATCTGTGTTGTATACTGAAAATCTTTTCTAAACCAAGAAGAGTAACTAACATGTAGCAGCTTTCATGCAAATTTTATTGAACAAATAAGCTATATTATTTAATACCAAAGCTAGAATTGTACATAATGGCCAAACACTAAAAGGGTTTCAATTTATTTCACAAATATCTTAAAGGATTAATTACATTAGTAAAAGACAGAATTTTTTATTTAATTTTGGAAAGTCTGTCAAATATCAAAGATTTAAAACACTTGACGTCACAGGTCATTGTAAAATAAGTTATTCATTTGACCAAATAAATAACTCAAGGATTTTTTCAAAAAGGCAAAAACTTTCTTTCTTTGAGAGAGTAGACTTAATTTTCTAAATAATGAAACCTAATAAAAACAGCATGAAGCCAATTAAATTTGTTTTTTGAAATTTTATAAACAATCTGTAAGATTTTAATCTCGACCATAGGGTATAACCTCCATAAACCTTTTATAACCTTTATAATCTTTATTAAAAAGTCAGTGTTTTGGTTTTTTTTAGTTATACTTTAAGTTCTGAGGTACATGTGGAGAACAAGCAGGTTTGTTACATAGGTATACATGTGCCATGGTGGTTTCCTGTACCCATCAACCCGTCATCTACATCAGGTATTTCTCCTAATGCTATCCCTCCCCCAGAACCACACCCCCCCAACGGGCCCTGGTGTGTGATGTTCCCCTCCCTGTGTCCATGTCTTCTCATTGTTCAGCTCACACTTACGAGTGAGAATATGTGATGTTTGGTTTTCTGTTATTGTGTTAATTTGCTGAGAATGATGGTTTCCTTGCAAAGCACATTGACTCATCCTTTCTATGGCTGCATAGTATTCCATGGTGTATATGTGCCACATTTTCTTTATCCAGTCTATCATTGATGGGCATTTGGATTGGTTCCAAGTCTTTGCTATTGTGAACAGTGCCACAATAAATATACGTGTGCATGTGCCATTATAGTAGAATAAACGGTGTTGGGAAAATTGGCTAGCCATATGCAGAAAACTGAAACTGGATCCCTTCCTTACACCTTATACAAAAAGTAACTCAAGATGGATTAAAGACTTAAATGTAATACCTAAAACCATAAAAACCCTAGAAGAAAACCTAGGCAATACCATTCGGGACATAAACATGGGCAAAGACTTCATGACTAAAACACCAGAAGCAATGGCAACAAAAGCAAAAATTGACAAATGGGATCTAATTAAACTAAAGAGCTTCTGCACAGCAAAAGACACTATCATCAGCATGAACAGGCAACCTACAGAATGGAAGAAAATTTTTGCAATCTATCCATCTGACAAAGGGCTAATAGTTACAGTTTGAAGAAAACCTTGTTAATTTGAGATAAGAGTCCATATGCTCGTCTTGCATCAGTGTCCTTTGACATTAATGACTACTTTATACAGAAACTGAACTTATTTTAATCTCAAGATCAGCCCTTAAAATCTCACATGCCCACTTTTTCTGTGAGAGTCCCTGGATCTTGAGTTGTTGAATTGCTTTATTTTTGGCCCTGCGTCTCAAGAATGCAGTTTATTTTGATAGGCATCTTCTACTGGGTCTGAAGATGAGGCTTTAACTGCTCTCAGTATTTACAGTTTAGCAGGACTTGGAGTCCTTTTTAGACCCAGGAGTCAAAGCCCTGTAACTCAATGTCACAAAAACTTTAAAAGCACATGTAGAAAGACACACAGATTTAATAACCTTAATTAAAGATAAAAATTTTATCAAAGTTTTTTTTCCTAAGCAAACCAAAACTTTATAATGGCATAGGAATTGCTTTTGATAAAATGAAATATCTTTTAGGCCAGTTACTGAAAGGCAGAAATAAAAACCATGTGCACTGAACAGAATATTATGTTGAAGAAAACATTTCCTTTGGGCATTTAAGAAAGCATTGTTAGCATCAGACCACAACAAACAGAAATTGAGGAAAAAAGACTTATACGAGCTGAAAATGAGTTGAAGGAGAACATTATCATTTTGCGCCTTTTAAAAGGGGAGAAAAACCTGAAAGTGGCAAGATGCAATAAAAGTTAAACTTGGGTAAAAAAAATTAAAATCTCCTATGATTTATTAAGAGTAAATCAATTCCTTAAGAAAATTTCACTGTTGGTTTCTTTTTTTTTTAATAAATCCTCTTATTGTGACTTATGACTTATAAAGACCCTTCATGACATGCTTGAAATTTTTATTTGTCCTGAACATAACCTCTTGTTTAAACAACCATTTTATTCTAGGAATAAATCTACCATATAATATTGTTTCTCATATAAAATTATTTCTCTTTAACCTTTCTTACCAAAAAAATCACTATTTTTATAATTTTCTTTACATCTCTCTTATTTTCTGGTTTCTTTTACCTAGTTTTTACCTAGCTTTAAATAAGCTTTGAAATAGAAAAAAATGGTTCATCTTTTAAAAAAAGACATGTTTTTTAGAAATAATGTTTTCTAAATATATATTTATAGATATATTTTTATAATATATAAAATAATTTGGATATTTATAATATATAATATATTTTTATAGTATATAGGGTATTATTTTATTGGAAAATATCCATATAATGAAATACCTATTATTAAATTTAATACAACTTTAGATTCTAAATTATGACATTTTCTACATGTATTTATCCTGTTACGTTTACCTAATTATTTTATTTTAATCATTTACCTACATAATTTGTGAAAACTGTGATACTCATTATTTAAAGTTATAGAACTGCCATTGTGAAATTTTAACTGAGACAGTGAAAAAGATATGACCTAACTGACTCCATCTTGCTTCTAACCTCAAGGCTGTTCTTGTTCATTCCTGGGCCTAGGCTGATCTAACTTTGGGAGGAAATTAATTTATACTTTAGCTTTGAAACAAAGACACTAACAGTTCCTTCTCAAAACAAACCTTACAGCCTGTGGACTAGATTGCCTAAAGCCACAAGATTAGAAGTTATGGTAATCTTACTAAATTCAAGATGTAGCTATTGTTATAAAACCAATGTTATTGTTAATAAATCAATGTCTTATTTATTAAAGATTACACAAGCAAAGATCATTCTGCTTTGGGCTGGGATTATACTTTTGCAAACCCTATGCCAAATTTTGACACATTATATTATTTGGCAAGAATAAGTATTAAATTGCTTGATTAAATGTAAACAACAATGTCTGCTGGCAATTTTTAAGAGATTTCTAACATTACTTAACCAATAATTTTAAATCTAGATTATTTATTAAAGATTTTGCTTAAGTTATGTTAACTTGAAAAAGCAGTTGAGTAGTCTTTTCCCTTTTCCTGATAAAGTATTTGATTCAAGTGCTTTTATTTTCTTAAGCCAATTAATTAGAGTTCCTTTTTTCCAGTAGTGAAATGTTGTGTAAACAACACATAAATACATAAATGTATTAGGCATGCTGATAGAAATACATCTTATAGATTCATGATAAACTTTTTTTTGTTAAACTTTCAGTCTTGATAACCTGTTTTACTACCATAGGTAGTTGTTAGCTAAATAGCCTTAAATTTGCATATTAAAGAAAATAACTCAGGTGAAAATCCAAGAGCAAAATTTACATCATAAGATACAGTGAGAAAAATTCTGATATGCTAGAGGGAAATTAAAATGGGTTTAATTGCCAATTGAACATAAAATTACAGAAATTATGAACACATACACACACACACACACACACACACACACACACACACACAGATCCTAAATCTTTTACTCCATAACTTTAGCCATGAGATAAATACAAATTCACTGGCTTGCAAGAATAACCTTTTGAATCCAAATAGTGGTTTTTATCTTAATAGAAAACAGCAGATTTAAAGCAGGCAGAAAAGAAAAATAGAGAAAAAGAGAACTTAGGAAGTCTGTAGTTTGCAGGTCGACCTCAGGGCTCTTTTACTTTAATGTAAGTGTACTCAAAGACCATATTACTTTCATTTTACATAAACCCTGGCAAGTGGAAGTGCCATAAAACCTATGGAGTGCTTGAAAGGGGGTCATTCTCCTTGTTTTCTCCTCATTCTTAGATTGTTTTCCACTCTTTTTCTTAAAAGGAGGAACTGAGCTGTGGCCTAGCGTTTTTGTGTGGTGGATCAATGTGTGCTGCTTGTGGGCAGGACTCCACAGTGTATCAACACTGAGTCATTTCCACACTCTTATGTGTCTCAGTTTCTCTCTCCAGAGGTCTGTGACCTCAGAGAAGACTCAAAATGGCAGGTGATCAGCCCTTATATGCATTTCCTGGACAAGTGGGGGGTTTTGTTATTGTTATTTTGAATTAATTTTTGTTGGGGATTTCCCTGCGGGGCTGCTGCACGCTGTGGGGGTTCAAAACCCCAGAGACTCCCACGAGGCCCCCAGTCACCCAGGGGTGCCTTTTGGTGGGAGGAACAAATGCCCTTTCTCTTTGGAGCTGAGAAAACTCAATCTCTCATTTAGCTTTGAAAACAGCAGTTCAGCTCCTCACACCAATGCACATAGACAAGCCGAATTGAGAGTAATTTGGGAGAAAAAGCGTTAGAGAAGTCTCCTTAGAATGTATCTCCAGACTAGAATTAGAATCCTTAGACAACAACTTCCTGGGAGAGAGAAAAAGACAACAGCCAAGACCACTTTATTTAAACTCCTGCTCAGCCACCCCTACTTTGTAGCTCTCATCTGCCATTACACATGCCAAGGTCAAATCCTCTCACAGTACAAGGTAATCTCTGTGATCCCCAAAGCCAAAGAGGCCAAGTCATGCAATACAGGAAAACAGAGCTTTAGACCTAAGAAGAAGCTGCCCATGACTCTTGAAACTCCACCAAGAAAACAGAATACCCCAAAACAGGTGAATTCTTTAAAGTGGTTCAAGTCATTATATGACTCCTTTAGATTTTTTGGTACTACAGATGGCAAAGGGGGCAGGAGGTACAGGGTGGAAGAAAAGTAAATGAAAGAACTTTTGTTTTTTAAAAAAACAAGACGAAAACTCGTAAACTAAGTGCATGTTTTTCCTCCTTTGCAGTTGCGAGGAATTTTGTCCAAATTAGAGAGGCTTTGTTACCCAGAACTTGGAATTCTCACACAGATTTGACCAAGTCAGGTAAAATTGGTCAAATCTGATGGGTGAAAATCCAGAACAAACAACAACAATAAAAACCCCACAATATGATCACTGGGTGCTCTAATGGTAAGTAGAAATTAAGACCAGCTGGTTATTAAACTTTAGCCAAGACAAAACCCCAATTCAGGTACTTACCTAGGGATGGGTCTCAGGCTGAAGACTGCTTTCTACCATTCTAGAAGCAGGGAAAAAAAAAAAGAGAGATCTCAAACTCATCTTCCCTGCTGAAAGGGAGCTCAAACTCCATAAAGAAGTTACCTGCCTTTCATTGTGATGGATACAGGAAGTCTCTCCTTCCTTGTTGGGAGCAAGTAAAACTCCAAAAAAGAAGGGAGGTGTACAGCAAAATAAACTTTAGATCTTGACCAAATTTTTGGAGATCAGAGATTCTCTGGAGGGGATGCTCACAGACCTCTGCAAATTCTCCCACTGGTTTGAGCCATACCAGTGAGAGGAGGTACCAGCTGGGCTTCCTGGGTCGAGTAGGGGCTCAGAAAGCTGTGAAACTTACTCATTTCCTGCATCAGGACTTACTTCAGTCCTGGATGAATAATATTGAAGATATATGCTTAAAATATTCCTAACACCAGGACTTGTGCATGTGTTTTCTTCCTCAAGAAAGCTATAAACAGCTAAAAGCTTGCTATAAGTTTCCCTGTGTTCTCTCTCCCTTCCCCATCCCCTAAAACTAAAGGAAAAGAAATGTTAACTTCCCCTTTTTCTGTGACCAGCAGACCTTATCTATACTCCCCATTCCAATTCCTTGTAAACATACTTTGTAAAGTCCTGTAAGATCCTGTCTCCTTTGCCATGCTGCTACAACGTCATAAAGTAGATAAAACCTAAGTTGCAATTCTGGTTTTCCTCAAAATCTTAGACATGTCACAAAATAATTTACTGCCTTTGTTTCTCACTCTGGTAACATCTTCCTGCTGCACATATTTCCCTCCTTGAAGAGTTTAAAAGGCAATCACCCAAAACCAACACTGGCTACCCATTCAGGACCCCTTCCACGCTGTGGAAGCTTTGTACTTTCACTCTGCCTAATAAAGCCTACAGCTTTTTTCTATCATTCCGTGTCTCTATCACTCGCCGCAGACAGCTGCCACATCAATTCTTTGGCATGGCTTGGCAAGAACCTTAGGCGTTACACTGGTACCAAGCACTGATAGGAGATTTGTCAAAGGTCTGGGGCATCTCCACTCAGAATTCCTCTGGGGTTACCAAAATGTGAACCCCCAAAATCTGAGACAGGTCTCGGTTAATTTAGAAAGTTTATTTCGCCAATGTCCCAGACATGCGCCCATGACACAACCTCAGAAGGTCCTGATGCCATGTGCCCAAGGTGACCAGAGCACAGCTTGGTTTTACACATTTTAGGGAGACATGAGACATCAATTAATATGTGTAAGATGTACATTGGTTCAGTCTGGAAAGGTGGAACAACTTGAGGCAAAGGCGGGAAAACTGGAAGCTGAGAGGGAGCTTCCATGTCACAGGTAGATAAGAGACAAATGGTTGCGTTCTTTTGAGTTTCTGATTAGCCTCTCTAAATGAGGCAAACAGATATGCATTCATCTCTGTGAGCAGAGGGGTGACTTTGAATAGAATGGGAGGCAGATTTGCCTTAAGCAGTTTCCAGCTTGACTTTTCCCTTTAGCTTAGTGATCTTGGGGCCCCAAGATTTATTTCCTTTTCTCAATATACACTATATATACTTTTATCTATATTGCATTCATCATTGAACAATATATTTTGGAGTTAACTACTTAGTAAATTATGGAGTTTATTCCATTTTCCAGCAGTACAGCATACTTCTTGATTTTTCATTGTTTACTCAGTTTCCTAAGCAACATAATTCATCCAACCAGTCAACCTAAACAGCATTTAGGTTGTTTCTGGTCTTTTGCTATTTTAAATAATGCTGAAATCAATGTTCATAAGTCATTTTCTATTTTTTGTCAATTTAAATTTGAATAGATTCCCAGTATTCTGAAATAAGTTTGCTGGTTCAAAGGATAAAGGAATGTACAATTTTGATGAACATTGCCAAATCTCCCCTAAAGAGTGATATGCCAGTTTGCATTTCCATAGTGATATATAAATGTCCTTGTGATCTACAGCTTCGAACTTTAGATTTGTAAAAGCTTGAGAGATAATGAATGATATTTAAATGAAGTTTTATTTGCTTTTCTCTTATTATTATTGAAGTTGAACATATTATCATATGTGTAACAGCCACTGACATTTCTTTTTCTGGCATTCAATATTCATACTATTTGCTCTTTTATTATGATACATTGTTGATTTTTTCCTGATTAATTTTAGAAGCCCTTTATAAATTTAACAGTCATTTTGTTTCAAAGAAGTTGCAATTTTATTTTTCAGTTTGTCATTTGTCATTCTTATCTATGATGTTTTTGAGATGAAATGTTTATTATAATCAAATTTATATTTTCCATTACTGTGCTGAATTTTGAATACTTATTAAATTTTACTACTTGTGCATTTCTAAGAATTCACTCATTATTTACTAATTTTTATAGAAACTTCATAACCGAAATTTTATACATTTATTTATCTGCTTACAATATATGCTGATGTAGAGATGAGACATGGATCCAGTTTTTCCTTCTAGAACCACCTAGTTATCAAAACATCAATTATCTTTTCCTCACTGATTTGAGATGCCTTGTTAGTGTACACTGAATTTCCAAATATAATTTGGCTAATTCTGGGTTTTCTATCTTATTTCATTGGTATGCCTGTCAGTTCTGATGTTGATACTAAACTACTTTAACTACACAGACTTTATATTATATTTAAAAGCTTGGTATGGTTTGCTTCCCCACATTGCTTTTCTGAATTTCCTAACTACTCTTTTAAACAATCCTTCTGAATAAAATTTATAATTAGCTTCCTCAGCCCTTAAAATCAAAGTGAAAATACTTACTAGAACTGAATAACTCATCAGTTAACTCAGAGGGAATTTCTATCTTTTTAATATTAAAACTTCCTATATAGAAACACGGTATCTTTATTTATTTTTTATTTATTTATTTATTTTTTTTTTGAGACAGAGCCTGGCTCTGTCAGCCAGGCTGCAGTGCACTGGTGCGATCTCTGCTCACTGCAATCTCCGCCTCGTGGGTTCAAGTGATTCTCCTGCCTCGGCCTCCCTAGTAGCTGGGACTACAAGCGCATGCCACCATACCCAACTAATTTTTGTATTTTTAGTAGAGATGGGGTTTTGCCATGCTGGCCAGGCTGGTCTCAAACTCCTGACCTCAGGTGATCCACTCTCCTTGGCCTCCAAAGTGCTGAGATTACAGGCGTGAGCCACTGTGCCCTCCTGGTATCACTTTTTTTTTTTATGAAGTTACTGAATTTTCAGTAGCATCCATGATTTTCTTATTAAAACATATTTTAAAATAAATTCAGAGATATTATTAAAAAGGAAAAGAAGGACTAGAAGGAAAACTGGAGAAAATGCATTTAACTAGAGTAAAAATACCAAGATGGGGAGATCTCAAAGGAATGTTCAAATACAGGGCCAAAATAAGATTGTACATATACTAAGTTCACAAAAGCACGAACAGGATAAACCCATGATTTTAAAAAATAGGAATAAAACAGAATACCCACATATGTAACTGGGATATTTCAGATCACCAGAGATCGTTTTTTAATCCTTTAGGGAATTTGGTGCTTGTTGGTATTATAAATTTGATAACAAAATATAAGCTTACTGAATAAGAATCATTTTAATTGTATTAATATCATGTTAATAATCATGTTAATCGTTTTGATTAGCAATTGTGTTAATGCAAAATTAATATTATTTTAGGAAAAATTAATCATATATACTTCTTATTTCTAGTTACACAAAGAACTGGTCCTCAGGACAAAAGGGTGTCTAAGTTCAACACAAGAGTTCAACAAGAATCATAAAATGATGGCTGCATAGCAAGCATAAAAAGCAGATTCATATGGAAGAATCAGTAGAATTTTTTACAGTTTGGATGCTCTTAGGCATCTTAATGATTATTTAACGATTAGAAAAAGGGGCAAAGAGAAGAAATCATGGATAGGGAAGTGGGAAACAGCATTAAGCTATTTTGAGCAATTGATGAAGTGTGAGAAAATATAATCTGTTAGATCTCAATGCTTAAGACATTCTCTGAGTGATATTGATAAAAGGCTTTTGTGATAGATAGATAGATTGAACTGGCCTGATTGTGCAGAATGTAAACATAATATTAAAATTAATATTAATATTTAAAATATTAAAAGTTAAAAATAATATTAAAATCTTTCAAACTGATTTTCTATTCTCAGGATAAAAATAATAACAAAATATATAAAAATATATAAAGTAATGTAACTATTATATATGTTTAATTATAAATATAATAATATGGCTGACATATTTGCAAGTGGGAGATAGAAAATAATGGGGAACATAAGGCTTCCACTACCTTACTGAACAGCAATCAAAGAGTAAGTTTTAAATTTTGTAGATAATAAAGCAGATATTTTGTTTTAAAAGTAAACAGCTTATTAATAATCTTTGTGATCAAATAAAAGTCAAGGGGTGAATTAAAATTAAAGGCATACCATAAAATTTGCGAAGGGAAGGTGGAAGAAGATGGTTTCTCAGTATAGTTCTTTGTCTTTTATTGAGGGAAGACATTAAATATCATTTCATATTTTAGGAAGAAATCATGGTACAATAATATATTTGAGAATTCTATAACAAAAAATCATAATATAGCCATGTGTTGCTTAATGACGGGAATATGTTCTGATAGATGTCTTCTTTGGCGATTTTGTCACTGTAGAGTAAAATTACACAAACTAGATAGGAGAGCCTGTTACACACCTAAGCTATACAGCATAGCCTATTGCTCCTAAGCTACAAATTTGTACAGCAGACTACAGTATTAAATACTGTAGGCAATTATAATACAATTGTGAGTATTTGTGCATCTAAAAATATCTAAATCTAGAAAAGGTACAGTAAAAATATGGTATAAAAAATACAATACACCTGTATAGGATACTTACCAGGAATGAAGCTTGCAGGACTGGAGGTTGCTGTGGGTGAGACATTGAATGAGTGGTGAGTAAATATGAAGGCCCAGGCATTACTGTCTACTTTATAAATACTGTACATGGAGTCAACATTAAATTTATTTAGAAATTTTTCTTTCTTCAATAATAAATTAATCTTAGTTTACTATAACATTTTTTCTTTATAAATTTTTTATTTTTAATCTTTGACTTTTGTAATAACATCCTAAAACATACATTGTACAGCTTTACAAAAATATTTTTTTATATACTTATTATTTTTGTATTTGTAACATTTTTATATATTTTTAATATTTAAACTTTTTTGTTAAAAACTAAGATACAAAAATACACATTTACCTCAGCCTAATCAGGGTCAGGATTATCAATATTACTGTCTTCAACCTCCACATCTTGTTCCCTGGGAAAATATTCAAGGGCAATAACATGCATAAAGCTGTCATATTTTATGACAACAATGCCTTCTTCTGGAATATCTCCTGAAGGACCTGCCTGAGGCTGATTTACAGTTAATGTTTTTTATAAGCAGAAAAGTATAACTTTTCAAAGTTTTACTCTAAAATAATGATAGAAAGTATAGCATAATAAATATATAAACAAGTAACGGTCATTTGTTATCATTATCAAGTATTATGTAATGTACGCAATTACATATGCTATAATTTTATACAACTGGCAGTGCAGTAGGTTTGTTTACAGCAGCATCGTCACAAACATGTGAGTAATGCATTGAACTGATATGTCAGAATGGCTACAATGTCAGTAGATGATAAGAATTTTTCAGCTCCATTATTATCTTATGGGACCACTGTCCTATATGTGGTCTGTTGTTAATTGAAATGTTGTTATACAGCACGTGACTGCACCTAAAAAAATAAATGATGACCATGCCAGAGAGTGGCAAGTGTATTAGGAAGAAAAAAGTCGATATTTGTGTACAATAAACATATACAATTTTGATTTGTCAATTTAAAAATTCAATTAAAAAAGAACAGAGTTGATCAGGGATAAAAAGTTTAATTAAAAATGGGCAAAGGATGTGAACAGGCATTTCTTAAAAGAATACATACCAGTGGCCAACAAACATATGAAAAAATTACTTAACATCACTAATCAGCATAGAAATGCAGATCAAAACCACAATTTGATACCATCTTACACAAATCAGAATGGCAATTATTAAAAAGTCAAAAAACAACAAAAGTTGGTGAAACTGTAAAGAAAAAGGAATACTTGTAGACTGCTAGTGGAAATAAACTAGTTCATCAACTGTGGAAAGCAGTTTAGAGATTTCTCAAAGAATTTAAAACAGAACTACCATTGAACTCAGCAATCTCGCTACTGGGTATATACTCAAAGGAAAATAATTCATTCTATCAAAAAGACACATGCATCCTCATGTTCATTGCAGTGTTATTCACAATAGCAAATACATAATGTCAACCTAGGTACCCATGAACAGTGGATTGGACGAAAAAGAAATCTGGTACATGTACACCATGGAATACTATGCAGCCATTAAAAATAATGAAATCACATTTTTTGCAGCAACATGGATGAAGCTGGAGGACATTATCTTAAGCAAGCTACTTCAAGAACAGAAAGCCAAATACCATGTTCTTACTTATAAGTGCGAGCAAAATGATTAATACATATTAGTGTAAAGATGTGAAAAATAGAGACTGGGGACCACTAGATGAAGCAGGAGAAGGGGTAATTGGGCAGAAGAATCACCTGTTGAGAACTATGCCTAGTGCGTGTGTGACGGGATCAGTGGAACAAACCACAAGCCTCAGTGCCACACAATTTGTCTATGTAACAAACACATATGTGTACCCTTTAATCTATAATAAAAGTTGAAATTATATGTTTAAAAATATGTACAGAGTAGAATGGAGGTTACCAGAGGCTGGAGGGTAAAGAGATTTAGGAAAATCAAGGTATACAACATTTCAGTTAGATAGAAGGAATAAGCTCAGGAGATCCATTGTACCTCATGGTGATTATAGTAAATACCAACATATTGTATACTTGAATATTGCTAAGAGGGTAGATTTTTTAAGTGTTCTCACCAAAAAAATTTTAAGTATGCAAGGTAGTATGTTAATTAGTTTGATTTAGTTATTCCACAATGTATACAATTATCAAAGCATCATGTTATATACTAGAAATATAAATATATTTTTGTCAGTAACTAAATACATAGCAATGAGCATTTGAGGCAAATGGCATATTTAGTGGCATGCCAAATGAAAAGTAAAAGCAGTGTTGCTTATCTATATCTAGATATTTTAGGAATTTGTCCTTTACCTGTAAATTTAAAATTAGAAGATCTATAGGAAAATTCCATTTAATTTTTGGTATTGGTGATTTTAGCTGTCTATATTTTATTTATCAGTATTACCAGTAGTTTATTATCTTGTGAATCTCTTATGTTGTGTACAAATTTGCTTTGAAAATCCTTACATTTTAATGTAATAATTTTCATTCTTGTGCTGAGTCTAGAATCTTGATTTTTATATAGATCTGATTTTATGTCAAGTCTAAATATACACTCAGGACACCCATTGGATGTCATAGTGACTATAGTTAAAAACAACATATTGCATATGTATGTTTATTAATTGATTACTTAAATAATATTTAAATATTAATATATTTTATTTTATCATTTTAATCACTTTAATTATTGCTAACCTTCCAACTCCTAACTGAATCACATTAAATACATTATTGTTTTATCCACTAACTCCCATATTTACATCAACTGCAGGTCTGCTTGTTTTTTTTTTTTATTGTATTGTTCTTCCGTAATATAATTTCTGTCTCTTAGTTTGCCTAGTGTGTGTTTATTAATTGGATGTTAGAAAGTATATTTCTTCCCGTTTAATTTTAAATTTAATTTAATTTAATTTTAAGTCCACATGCAGGATGTGCAGGTTTGTGACGTAGGTAATCGTGTGACATGGTGATTTGCTGCATCTATCAACCCACCACTTACATATTAAGCCCAGCATGTATTAGCTATTTTTCCAGATGCTCTCCCTCCTCCTACCCGCTATAACAGGCCCCAGTGTGTGATGTTCCCCTCCCTGTGTCTGTGTGTTCACATGGTTCAGCTCCCACTTATAAGTGAGAACATGTTGTGTTTGGTTTTCTGTTCCTGTGTTAGTTTGCTGAGGATAATGGCTTCTAGCTCCATCCATGCCCCTGCAAAGGACATGATCTTGTTCCTTTTTATGGCTGCATGGTATTCCATGGTGCTCCAACAAACAAATGAAAAAAAGCTCAACATCACTGATCATTCGAGAAATGCAAATCAAAACCAAAATGAGACACCATCTCATGCCAGTCAGAAGGGTGATTATTAAAATGTCAATGAACAACAGATGCTGGCAAGGTTGCAGACAAATAGGAACGCTTTTACACTGTTGATGGGAGTGTAAATTAGTTCAACCATTGTGGATGACAGTGTGGTGATTTCTCAAATACCTAGAACCAGAAATACCATTTGACCCAGCAATCGCATTACTGAGTATATCCAAAGAAATATAAATCATTCTATCATAAATATAAATGCACGCCTGTGTTCATTGCAGTACTATTCACAACAGCAAAGACATGGAATCAACCCAAATGGCCCATCAGTGGTAGACAGGGTGAATAAAATGTGGCCCATTTTTCTTCTGTTATGCAGACAGACTAAGGACTGATTACCTTGATCCAACTGGGGATAGAGTTCATTCAAATATAGATTGTAACTCTGGGAAGTTACTGTCAACTCCTTTTGCCTCTGTTCCTAGGGCATAGCTCTCATGACCTTTCACTTAGATGTATGTATATTTATTGTCCACATTTTTCCCACCCCTGGCTAGTGCTGAATTCTAACACTTGTTTCCTCAGAACAGCTAGATCGCTAGCAGCCTACTATTTGCTGTAATTATCAGTAGCTCTCTACATAGTTGCTTCTCCTCCTATCCCATGAAACTTCATAATTAGCCACAGCCCTATGGGGAGAATCAGCCAAAGCAGGTTGTTATTCATTACTTTTTCTCAGGCTCTTGTCCCTCCTAGGGTCAATTTTGTCAATTTCTATCTTTCGTCAATTTCTGTTTTCATTAGGCCACAAAATACTTTGCTAGCTAACTTGCCCCCTCTTCAGTTCTCTTCGAGGACAAAACATTAATTCTCAGCCTTTTATATTGTGTCATCATTTGGCAAATGCCAACAGAGAACCTAAAGTTTCAAAAAGTGAGCGTTATCAAAAAGGAATTACAGTCAGTGAAAAAAGTTCAATCCCTAAAGGATACATACTGTTTGATTCCTTTTAATCACACTTTCAAAATAACAAAATTTTTGTGAAGATCAGTTGATGCCATAGGTTAAGGATGTTGGAGGGTGAGTGTGGCAATAGAATAAAAGAAAGAGGGAGACTTTTATTAGTGGAATTGCTTTGTATTTTGATTGTGGTGGTGGTTACATGAACATACACGTGATGAAATTACATAGGACAATACATACACATTTGTGTGTACAAAAGATTACATGTGAATTTATGAAGTTTGAATAAACTCTATGTATTCTGCTAGTGGGAATTTTCTGGTTATATTGTTTTATAATTATGCAAGATGTTACCATTTGGAGAAACCGGGTGAAAAGTACATATGACATCTCTATATTTTTTGCAACTTATTGTGAATCTATATTTACTTCAAAATTTAAAGTTTTCTTAAAAGTAGCATCCTCATCTCATCCTATTAACAGTCTTTACTGGTTATTTTCCATATAAATGCTCTTTAAATTATATTTAGATATGGAAGTAATTTTTGTTGAATTTAATTGTTTTCATTTTTCTACTAAAGTTCACAATATCATTCAATGTTGAATAAATGGATTGCTCTATTGTTAATATTTGTGTCTTTTAAAGTATTATTATATTAACTGGATCCTCTGTGAATCTATTTCTATTTCATCTGGTAATCTATATATTTACTTATCTCATCTATCATCAAATAGTTATCTATCTAGTAGCTAGTTTTCAATAATTTTGTAAAATGTGGAGATTACTGAATGACAGTGACTTTCTCCAGAGCTTACAATCATAGTATGGGCAGTATCATCTCTTGGGGTGTGAACAAAATGCCTTAGATATTAGAATGGTTTGTGGCTCTTGAATGCTCACCCCTACCAAATTAAATATTATTCCTTTTAGGTATTAATTTCATGAAGAGAGTGTAATTAGCAAAAATATATTTTAAATGCTTCTTGGAATGTTGATAACGAAGAAAAATTGAGAAACACTGCTCTAGAGAAGAGCTATGTTTGCTATTGTCAGGCAGCTAACAAGAGCAGGGCTCTCAAAATGCGGTTGGCAACCTATGGGGAAGCAGATATTTGTCAAGAGGGCCACTAGGCTCAAATGATTGTCACAATACTACCAAGATGGATTTTAACATTTTACACTCATTCTCTCATGAGTGTACAGTGGCATTTTCTTTAAACTACATGAAATGTGATTCCACAACATATCAAATGCAGAAGCAAATATAGTCTATCAGTCATCTATTACACCAGACTTTAAAGATATTTCAACCAATGTAAAATAATGCAGTGCTTTTCACTTGTGATTTTTGAAAATGTTTTTTGAAAACGTTTTTCTTAATAAAGTATGTTATCTGCGTTAACATGTGGTGGGTTTCTTGTTATGTGTACATAAATTTACTATAGTTTTAAAATTCTGTTTTAGTTTCTAATATTATAAATGTTAATAGATATCTATCACATAAGAAAAACTCTTTGGTGTACTAAGCAATGTTTAAGAGAATAAAATACATCCTTTCGTTGAGGGGCAAACACCTAGATGAATGATGGCTTGATGACTTTGATGCACTTAATGATGTATTCATCTATTTTGAGAGTCACTGAGGTAGCTAAAGTAGCAATTTCAGACCAACTATATCCAGTCAGAAATTCTATTCTCATGAAATTTTTATTTTGTCCTAGAAAAGATGACTATTTCAGGTTCACATTCACTCCTAGAGTATTACCTTTCAGAGTTTCAGCTGAAAGTTGAGGAAGTGTAATGGGACTCTACCTATTTGATGGATCCTGATCTCCTGTTTTGCCCTGATGGTTCTACCAAATCATCTGTTTATGCCTCAAAATCTTACTGCTCTTGAATTTGGAAAGAAGTAACTCTAAAATGGTGATCTCATCTGATATCGTTTGGCTGTGTCCCCACCCAAATCTCATCTTGAATTGTAGCTCCCATAATTTATGCATGTTGTGGGAGGGACCTGGTGGGAGATAATTGAATCATAGGGGTGGTTTCTTCCATACTATTCTTGTGGTGTGAATAAGTCTCATGAAAGCTCATGGTTTTATAAGGGGTTTCCCCTTTCGCTTGTCTCTCATTCTCTCTTTGCATGCTGCCACGGAAGACGTGGATTTTTTCTTCATCTTCTACCATAATTGTGAGGCTTCCCCAGTCATGTGGAACTGTGAGTCAATTAAACCTGCTTTACTTTATAAATTACCCAGTCTTGAGTATGTCTTTATTAGCAGTGTGAGAACAGACTAATACACTATCTATCTAGGGCTCTCTTCTATTTGAAATCTTAGTCCCACGTTTTGTTTAGCTTAATGCTAAACAAAATGATATGGTTTCAAAAAAGAAACACCTGAATTTGAATTATAAATAATATGGTTTCAAAACAGAAAAAAAATCTGCTTTTACATTTTAAAATGACAAATTTTACTTCAACAATTTAATTAAATTATTAATACTAATTTTAAAACATTTCATAATTTTTTTACCCAGAAAAAATATTACTTCATGGAATATTTGGTTTTCTATTGGAAAAAGCTATAATGAACCAAAAATAATATGAACAAAAAAATACAAAATAAATATATTTAATAAGTTTCCAGCCACTGTTTTAAAACTTTTGCCTATAACTTGTCATATAATTTTCTCAAAGGTATTGTTATTTGTCCTTACAGATTAAAAATATGTATATTGAAACACCTGAAAAAGTCTAAGCATTCCCCTCTTTTTGTCCTCCCTCTTCTGCCTGAATAGACTCTGCTCATGGTCTATCATTAAGTTCTACTATTCTTAAATAATAAATGTCTATCTCACTCGATCTACCTCTCTCATTTAAAAAGCAAGAGAACAATTTTCTCTTGAAAGGTTAGTTCAGTGAAAAGGAGCTTACATAAAAATGCACACAATTTGTTAATGCTAGCAAATTTCAGTTGAAGAGATAAACACACAGATAAATGACGGTTTGATGACTTTGATGAATTTAATATTTCACTCACCTAGTAACACTTTACTCATGCTGATTCAAGTCTTAGAGTTTGCAATTCTATAATCATGTTAAGATAAAATTAATTAGAATGAAATAATACCTATCCTTTTTCTCACAACACACATGCAACTAAGTAAGCTTTATCAAATGAAGTTCAACAATATTTTCTTAATAACATACACAAAGACATATTCCAGCAACACCTAAGCAGCGCTTTTCCAATGTAATAAGGGAATTACAATATAGATATCTACATTATAAATATTTCAAAAGTAAATAAGAAAGAAATTATTCATAAGCAGGTGGAGAAAAGTAGAATAAGAAAAGGATGGATTGACTTGTTAAGCTCTTCTCCATCCTTAATTCCTCTACCATATGCTTGTGGAAAGGAGAGAGAATTCTAGAGACTGAGGGAATATTACATGAAGGGCAGCAACAAATTTAGAGGCTCAAAAAATAGATGTGTTTATTTTTAATAAGTATTACATATATATAAGCTACATATTATTAAAGATGATTTTTATAATCATCAAAATTCATCCTGAATAAGACTATGCATAAACATGTTTTTATAAATGAGTGAATACATTTTAAAAGGAATAACACAGACACACAATATATTATAAGATACACTTCATGCAGAGATTATTTATTATTTTACTTTGGGATACAGGTGCAGAATGTGCAGGTGTGTTACATAGGTATACATGTGACATGGTGGCTTGCTGCACTTATTGACCCGTCCCCTAGATTCCCTCCACTCAGCCCCCAAACCCCAACAGGCTCTGTTGTCTGTTGTTCCCCTCCCTGTGTCCATGTGTCCTCATTGTTCAACTCTCACTTATAAGCGAGAACATGTCTTCTTTGGTTTTCTGTTCCTGTGTTAGCTTGCAGAGGATGATGGCTTCCAGCTTTATCCATGTCCCTGCAAAGGACATGATCTCATTTGTTTTTATGGCTGCATAGTATTCCATGGTGTATCTGTACCATATTTTCTTTTTCCAGTCTGTCATTGATGGACTTTTGGGTTGGTTTCACGTCTTTGTTATTGTAAATAGAGCTTCAATAAACATACATGTGCATGTGTCTTTATAGTAGAATGATTTATATTCTTTGGGGTATATACCCAGTAATGGAATTGCTGGGTCAAATGGTATTTCTGGTTCTAGACCTTTGAAGAATCACCACACTGCCTTTCACAATGGTTGAGCTAATTTACATTCCCACCAACAATGTAAAGCGTTCTTATTTCTCTGTAGCCTTCCAACATCTATTGTTTCTTGACATTTTAATAATTGACATTCTGCTTGTCATGAAATTGTGTCTAATTTTGGTTTTGATTTGCATTTCTCTAATAATCAGTGATGTTGAGCTTTTCTAATGTTTTTTGGCCACATAAATGTCTTATTTTAAGAAATGTCTTTGCCCAGTTTTCAATGGGATTGTTTGTTTGTTACTTGTAAATTTGTTTAAGTTCCTTGTAGATTGTGGATATTAGAGCTTTGTCGGATGGGTAGATTGCAAAAAATTTCTTCCATTCTGTAGGTTGCCTGTTCACTCTGATGACAGTTTATTTTGCTGTGCAGAAGCTCTGTATTAGATCTCATTTGTTAATTGTGGCTTTTGATGCAATTGCTTTTGGCGTTTTCGTCATGAAGTCTTTGCCCATGCCCATGTCTTGAATGTTATTGCCTAGGTTTTCTTCTCGGGTTTTTATGATTTTGGGTTTTACATTTAAGTCTTTAACTCATCTTGAGTTAATTTTTGTATAATGTGTAAGGAAGAGATCCAGTTTCAGTTTTCTGCATATGGCTAGCTGGTTGTCTCAGCACCATTTATTGAATAGGAAATCCTTTCCCTATTGCTTCTTTTTGTCAGGTTTGTCAAAGATCAGATGGTTGTAGATGTGTGGTGTCATTTCTGAGGTCTCTGTTCTGTTCCATTTATCTATATATCTGTTTTTGTAGTAGTACCGTGGTGTTTTGGTTACTGTAGCCTTGTAGCATAGTTTGAAATCAGGAGTGATGCCTCTGGCTTTGTTCTTTTTGCTTAGGATCGTCTTGGCTATACAGGCTCTTCTTTGGTTCCATATGAAATTTAAAGTAGTTGTTTGAATTCTATGAAGAATGTCAATGGTAGTTTGATGGGAATAGCATTAAACCTATAAATTACTTTGGGCAGTATGGCCATTTTCATGATATTGATTCTTCCTATACATGAGCCTGGAATGCTTTTCCATTTGTTTGTGTCCTCTCTTATTTCCTTGAGCAGTTGTTTGTAGTTCTTCTTGAAGAGGTCCTTCACATCTTTTGTTAGCTGTATTCCTAGGTATTTTATTCTCTTTGTAACAATTGTGAATGGGAGTTCATTCATGAGTTGGCTCTGTGTTTGTCTATTGTTAGTGTAAAGGAATGCTTGTGACTTTTGCACATTGATTTTGGATCCTGAGACTTTGCTGAAGTTGCTTATCAGCTTAAGGAGTTTTGGGGCTGAAACAATGGGGTATTCTAAATATAGAATTATGTCATTTGCAAAGAGAGACAATTTGACTTCCTCTCTATTTGCATATGCTTTCTTTCTTTTTTTTTTTTTTTTTTTTTTTTGCCTGATTGCCCTAGTCAGAACTTCCAATAATATGTTTCACAGGAATGGTGAGAGAGAAGGCATCCTTGTCTTTCACTGGTGTTGGAAGGGAATGCTTCCAGCTTTTGCCCATTCAATATGATATTGGGTGTCGGTTTGTCTTGAATATCTCTTATTATTTTGAGATACGTTCCATCAATACCTGGTTTATTGAGAGTTTTTAACATGAAGGGATGTTGAATTATATCAAACGCTTTTTCTGCATCTATTGAGATAATCATGTGGTTTTTGTCTTTGGTTCTGTTTATGTGACGGATTACATTTACTGATTTGCATATGTTGAACCAAACTTGCATCCCAGGGATGAAGCCAACTTGATTGTGGTGGACAAGTTTTTTGATGTGCTGTTGTATTTGGTTTGCCAGTATTTTATTGAGGATTTTCGCATCGATGTTCATCAGGGATATTGGCCTGAAGTTTTCCCTTTTTTGTTGTGTTTCTGCCAGGTTTTGGTATCAGGATGACGGTGGTTTCATAAAATGAGTTAGGAGGCCTGGTGCGGTGGCTCACGCCTGTAATCCCAGCAATTTGAGAAGCCGAGGCAGGTGGATCACGAGGTCAGGAGTTCGAGACCAGCCTGGCCAGCATGGTGAAAACCCTGTCTCTACTAAAAATACAAAAACTTAGCCAGGCATGGTGGCACGCACCTGTAGTCCCAACTACTCGGGAGGCTGAGACAGGAGAATTGCTTGAACCCAGCAGGTGGAGGTTGCTGTCAGCCAAGATTGCACCACTGCACTCCAGCCTGGGTGACAGAGTGAGACTCCACCTCAATAAATAAATAAATAAATAAGTAAAATGAGTTAGGGTTAGGGAGGAGTCCCTCCTTTTAGTGTTTGAAATAGTTTCAGAAGGAATGGTACCAGCTCCTCTTTGTACTTCTGTTAGTATTTGACTGTCAATCCATCTGGTTCTGGGCTTTTTTTTTTTTTTTTTTTTTTTTTGGTTGGTAGACTATTAATTACTGCCTCAATTTCAGGGGTTATATTGGTCTGTTTAGGGATTCGACTACTTCCTGGTTTAGTTTTGGGAAGATGTATGCATCCAGGAATTTATACATTACTTCTAGATTTTTTAGTTTATTTGTGTAGGGGTGTTTATAGTTTTCTCTGACGATAGTTTGTATTTCTGTGGGGTCAGTTGTGATATCCCCTTGATCATCTTTTTATTGTGTCTATTTGGTTCTTCTCTCTTTTCTTCTTTATTATTCTTCTAGCAGTCTATTTTGTTAATTTTTTCAAAAAAAGACAGTTCCAGGATTCATTGATTTTTTGGAAAGTTTTTCATGTCTCTATCTCCTTCAATTCTGCTTTGATTTTAGATATTTCTTGTCTTCTTCTAGCTTTGGATTAGTTATCTCTTACTTCTCTAGCTCCTTTCATTGTGTTGTTAGGGTGTTGATTTGAGACTATTCTAGCTTTCAGATGTGGGCACTTTAGTGCTATAAATTTCCATCTTAACACTGCTTTAGCTGTATCCCAGAGATTCTGGTACGTTTTCTCTTTGCTCTCATTGGTTTCAAACAACTTCTTGATTTCTGCCTTAATTTCATTATTTACTTAGGAGTCATTCAGGAGCAGCTTGTTCAATTTCCATGTAATTTTGTGGTTTTGCGTGAGTTTTTAAATTCTGAGTTCTAATTTGATTTCACTGTGGTTTGAGTGACTGTTTGTTATGGTTCCCATTCTTTTGCATTTGCTGAGGAGCGTTTTACTTGCAAATATGTGATCAATTTAAGAATAAGTGCCATGTGGCACTAAGAATAATATATATTCTGTTGATTTGGGGTGAAGAGTTTTGAAGATATCTATTAGGTCAACTTGATCCAGAGCTGAGTTCAAGTCCTGAATATCCTTGTTAATTTTCTGTCTTGTTGATCTATCTAACATTGACAGTGGGGTGTTAAAATATCCCACTATTATCATATTGGAGTGTAAGTCTCCTTGTAGGTCTTTAAGAACTTGTTCTATGAAGCTGGGTGCTCCCATATTGGATGCATATATATTTAGAATAGTTAGTTCTTCTTGTTGAATTGATCCCTTTACCATTATGTAATGCCCTCTTTGTCTTTTTTTTTTTATCTTTGTTCATTTAAACTCTGTTTGTCTGAGACTAGGATTGCAACCCCTGCCGTTTTTTTTTTTTCTTTCCATTTGCTGGGTCAATTTTCTTCCATCCCTTTATTTTGAGCCTATGTGTGTCTTTGCATGTGAGATGGGTCTCCTGAATATAGCACACTGATGGGTCTTGACTTTTTATCCAATTTTCCAGCCCGTATTTTTTAATTGGGGCATTTAGCCCATTTACATTTAAGGTTAGTATTGTTATGTGTGACTTTGATCCTCTCGTCATGATGCTATCTAGTGATTTTGCACACTAGTTGATGCAGTTACTTTATAGTGTCATTGGTGTTTAAATTTTGGTGTGTTTTTGCAGTGGCTGGTAGCACTTTTTTCTTTGTATATTTCATGCTTCCTTCAAGACCTCTTGCAAGGCAGGCCTGGTGGTGATGAAATCCCTCACAGTTTACTTGTCTGGAAAGGATTTTATTTCTCCTTTGCTTATGAAGCTTAGTTTGGCTGGATATGAAACTCTGGGCTGAAGATTCTTTTCTTTAAGAATCCTGAATATTGGCCCCCACTCTCTTCTGGCTTGCATGGTTTCTGCTGAGAGGTCCAATGTTAGTTTGATGGGCCTCCCTTTGTAGGTGACTTGGCCTTTCTTTCTGGCTGACCTTAACATTTTTTCCTTCATTTCAACCTTGGAGAATCTTATGGCTATGTGTCTTGGAGTTGATTTTCCTGTGGAGTATCTTAGTGGTGTTCTCTGTATTTCCTGAATTTGGATGTTGGCCTGTCTTGCTATGTTGGGGAAGTTCTCCTGGATTATATCCTGAAGTGTGTTTTCCAGCTTGTTTCCATTCTGCCTGCCTCCTTCAGATAATCCAATCAATCATAGGTTCGGTCTTCTTATGGAGTCCCATATTTCTCGGAGGCTTTGTTCATTCCTTTTTATTCTTTTCTCTCTAATTTTGTCTGCATGCCTTATTTCAGCAAGGTGGCCTTCAAACTCTGATATCCTGTCCTCCGCTTGTTTGATTCAGCCATTGACACTTGTGTATGTTTCATGAAGTTCTTGTGCTGTGTTTTTCAGCTCCATCAGGTCATTTATGTTCCTCTCTAAACTGGTTATTCTAGTTAGCAGCTCCTCTAACCTGTTATCAAGGTTCTTAGCTTCTTTGCATTGGGTTAGAACAGGCTCCTTTAGCTCAGCAGAGTTTGTTTTTACCCATCTTCTGAAGCCTACCTCTGTCAATTGGTCCAGCTCATCCTTCGACCAGTTCTGTGCCCTTGCTGTAGAGGTGTTGCAATCACTTGGAGGAGAAAAGCCACTCTGGCCTTTTGGGATTTTAGTGTTTCTTCATTGAATCTTTGTCACCTTCATGAGTTTGTTTAGTTTAGATCTTTGAGGCTGCTGAATCTTGGATGAGGTTTTTGTGGGGACTTCGTTGTTGTTGTTGATGCTGTTGTTGTTGCTTTCTGTGTATTTGTTTTTCTTTCAATGATCAGGTCCCTCTTCTGTAGGGCTGCTGCAGTTTGCTGAGGGTTCACTTCAGGCCATATTCATCTGGTTCGCTCCCATGCCTGAAGATACCACTCAAGGAGGCTGGAGAACAGCAAAGGTAGGTGCCTGCTTCTTCCTCTGGGATCTCTGACTTCGAGGGGTACCAACCTGATCTCAGTAGCATCACTCCTGTATAGGGTGTCTGACAAACCCTGTTGGGTCTCACCCAGTTGGGTGGCATGAGGAACAGGACCCGTTTAATGAAGCACTTTGTCCTTTGGTGAGACGGAGTATGCTTTGCTGTGGGGAAACCCACTTGTCTGATCTGCCTGGATTCCTCAGAACTACCAGTAGGAAAGGCTAAGTCTGCCACTCCTCTCCCTAGGAGCTCAGGTCCAGGAAGATCAGAGTTCTGTCCCTGAATCCCTGGCTGGAGTTGTTGGAGTTCCTGCAGGGAGGTCCTGCCCAGTGAGGAGGGATGGGTCAGGGTCAGTCCTGAAGAAGTGCTCTGTAGTCTGCCACAGCTGGTGTGTTGGGCTGTGGGGGGCACCTCTAGGGACCAAGCTGTCCAGCCTCCCTGGCTCCAGCAGGGCAAAAGCACAGCCTGGAACTGTAGAAGGGGCTGCCACCCTTCCCCTGCCCAGGGAACTTAGCGTGTTAGGCAGCTATCAGTCCCAGTGCTGGCTGCTGCCCCTCCCCTAAGGAGCTCAAATGGCTTAGACAGCAGGCAGCTGCAGCTGTGGTGCTGGTCAACCCTCCCCGCAGGAACTTGGAAGTCTTAAGCAGATTATAGCTGAGAGGCTGTTGAGAATCTGCGTGGCTCTGGTGTTGGGACCCTAGGCCCTCGGGGGCAAGGGTTCACCAAGTGGGATCTTCCGGATCTGTGGGTTGTACAGTTCTGTGAAAAAAGCACAGCTTCCCCAGCTGGGTAGCACACTCATTGCCTCTCTTGACTGGGGGGTGGGTGCCCCCCTACCCCATGTGGCTCTGAGCTGGGCTGCCACACCACATGGCTCTTCCTCTCCGTGGGTCACACCAGTTGCCTAGTCAGTTCTGATGAGAGAACCTGGATACCTCAGTTGCCAGTGCAGGATTCACATGTATTATGTTTATTTTTGATGGGAGCCTCTGATTCCTGCTGCTTCTACTGGACCATCTTGTCCCCGCCCAACCTCACTGATGTATAATTATTTTTAATTATTTTTCTTTAATTTTAAGTGCTGGAAATCTGAACTATTTGTATTTAGTTTATAATTAAAATAGTTTGTAACAATTAAACTTACATGATGTTTTGGCTTTTCCCATGTTAATCATAGTTTAAATATTGTATGACAACATTTTATTTTTAATACAAGCCTATTTAGTTAAATTAAATTTATTCAGAATATTCTGTTTTGTATTTATCCATTGTATAGTTCTAGAAACTAAGGGAAGGAAAACCTAAAAATTTTGTCTAAAAGCTCACATTTCTTAGCTCCTAATATGCTAAATGAATTTACAGTTGATAATTATAGTTTAAGTGTAAAAAAACTAGTAAAATATTATAAATAACTTACATTTAAAGTTCAAACATTTTCTATTTTCTATTAGAATATTTTAAAATACAAACTTAGATTTTAATGTACCTTATGTCATATTTTTACAACATCTATGTTTAACGTATACTCTAAGGTATACTTAGATTAGGGTTATAATCTACTAATTTTTTCATAGATGTCCTTTTCAAACAATCATGTTCTATTTACCTAATGTGTATTCAGATTATACTATACCTTTTATTCTTTTTTTTTTCTTTTTTTTTGAGACGGAGTCTTGCTCTGTCACCCAGGTTGGAGTGCAGTGGCGCAATCTTGGCTCACTGCAAGCTCTGCCTCCCAGGTTCACACCATTCTCCTGCCTCAGCCTCCCGAGTAGCTGGGACTACAGGTGCCCGCCACCACACCCGGCTAATTTTTTGTATTTTTAGTAGAGATGGAGTTTCACTGCGTTAGCCAGGATGGTCTCGATCTCCTGACCTCGTGACCCACCTGCCTCGGCCTCCCAAAGTGCCTATATCTTTTATTCTGAGTGATTCATATAGCTATTACTATTTATTTGTTTGATTGTTTGTACATTATTTTCACTATCGATGCACTTTCAAACCTCCTTGATGTTGACATTCAGAAGGTTGACTTCTAGGCACTGCTTCCACCGAGGTGCCTTGACCTCTCGTTGTGGCTTTTCTAAGCCAAGGCGAGATAGGAGTAGAGAAAAGTAGGGTACATGCTACCCTGGTTCCTCTCCTTGGTAGGCCATGGTTTGCTAGTGCCTGCTTGGTAAATCTTATGCCATAGTGACTATTTTTTACTGTTTGCTGTAGCTTCTGCCCTAGCATAATGTGGACAACTTCATTCTACATTTACCCTTCAGTCTTAAGGGTAATAAAATTTTCCTTTCTATTAGTCTTAATTCTATTTTTTTAAAACTTCTCATGTCTAGTATAGAATGCTTTCATTATACTGTCTTCAACTATCCCCTTTTTCAATATGCCA
Organism: Homo sapiens; assembly: GCF_000001405.40. Lineage (NCBI taxonomy): Eukaryota > Metazoa > Chordata > Mammalia > Primates > Hominidae > Homo > Homo sapiens. The sequence continues at coordinate 25,183,240 of NC_000005.10, forward strand.
CCTGTTTCTTGCTGGGATGCTGACATTTTCAAGTTATCTAATTTTGGAAAAAGTTAAGTTCAAGAAGTATAGTAATATTGTAGCATCTAATGCCATCTTAGATCAGCTGGCAATTTAGAAGTAAGTAAATAGTACTTTGAAAATGATTAAAGACATATATATTGAAGTGTTGGAAAAAATGAGCATATTAATGAAAGTCTATACAGGAAATTAAAATGAAAATAAAATACCTTAGAGGATTCCAATAAAATAATGTGTATTTGTCTTTAGAAACACAGGTGAATGATACCAATAGATTTTTTTTTTAAATGATAAAAATCATTTTTTATGATTTTTTAATGATTTTTTATGATATCAAAGTCTAATATCAAAAATGATATTAGATATCATTCTTGGTATCTAATGATACCAATATATTTTTCAAAAAAAATAAAAAAATGATGAGGTTTTTTTTTTTTCTTATATCTGACTCCATTTTCAAATAATGGTAACATGGTACCATTTCTTTTCTTTAAATTTTATTTTGTTGTGTCAAGAACACTTACCATGAGGTCTACCCACTTAACAATTTTTAAAGTCTACAATACTGTACTGTTGACTACAGGTACAGTGTTGTAGGGCAGCTCTCTAGAATTCATTCATCTTATTTAACTGAAAGTTTATGCCTTTGATTAGTAGCTCCCCATTTCTTCATCCACCCAGTCCCTGGCAACCAACATCCCACTCTCTGATTCTATGAATTTGACTACTTTGGATACTTATTTATATAAGTGGAATTGTATAGTATTTGTCCTTCTGTGATTGGCTTATTTCACATTTTTTCATAACATCCTCAAGGTTCATCCATGTTGTTCCATATTACAAAATCTCCTTCTTCTGAAAGGTGAATAATATTCTGTCATATGTGTGTATATACCACATTTCTTACCATTTTATATAAGGTAAGGTATTTAAGTTGTTTCTACATCTTGGGTATTGTGAACAGTCCTGAGGTTTTGTCATATGTAGCTTTTATTTTGATGAGGTACATTCATTATATGATTTATGGTTGAGGGTTTCTTTATCCTAAAAGTGTTTTGAGTTTTGTCAAATGCCTTTTCTGCATCTGTTTAGATGACCATATGGTTCTGTCAATGAGGTAGATTACATTTATAGATTTGCATAGGTTGAACCATTTTTGCATTCCAGCATTAAATGCCACTTAATCATGATATGACCCTTTTAATGTGCTGGTAAATTCAGATTGCTAGTATTTTGTTGAGAATTTTTACACCTATGTTTATCAGGGGAATTGGTCTCCAATTTTATTTTCTTCTAATGTCTTAGGCTTTGGTATCAGGGGAATGCAGAACTTATAAATGAGTATGGAAAAATTTCCTCTTCTTAAATTCTTTTAAAGAGTTTGAGAAGGATTTGCATTCTTTCTTCTTTAAAGGTTTGATAGAATTTAACCATGAAACTATTAGGTCCTAGGCTTTGCTTAGATGTAGGATTTTTGTTACTGATTCACTCTCCCTACTTGTTGTTGGTCTGTTCAGATTTTCTTCATTATTCAGGTTGTATGCTTCTAGGAACTTATTCAATTCTTTTAAGTTATCCAATTTGATGACATGTAATTGTTTATAGTAGTCTCTTATTTTCTGCATTTCTGTGGTGATATGGTTTGGCTGTGTCCCCACCCAAATCTCATCTTTAATTCCTGCGTATTGTGTGAGGGACCCAGTGGGAGGTAATTGAATCATGCAGGCAAGTCTTCCCCATGCTGTTCTCAAGATAGTAAGTCTCTCACAAGATCTGATGGTTTTATAAAGAGAAGTTTCCCTGAACAAGTTATCTCTCTCTTTTTGCCTGCAGCCATCCATGTTAGATCTGACTTGCTCCTCCTTGCCTTCCACCATGATTGTGAGGCCTCACAGCCATGTGGAACTGTAAGTCCATTAAACCTCTTTTTCTTCCCAGTCTTATCAGCAGCATAAAAATGGACTAATACATGTGGATTCAGGCATAGTGTTTCCTCTTTATTTTCTGATTTTATTCATTTGAGACTTCTCTTTTTTTATTAGCCTAGCTAAACTTTTGTCAAATCTTTTTTATATTTTTAAATAACGATTTCTTTATTGATTTGATTTTTTTCTATTGTTTTTCTAGTCTCTATTCCATTTACCATCTAGTCTCCATTTCTTAGGTTTTTCTAGACTCTACATTTTTTATTCCTGCTCTGATCTTTGTTATTTTTTTTCTTCTACTAACATTGGGCTTTGTTTATTCTTCTTTCTCTAGTTTCTTGAGATGTAATGTTAGGTTATATACTTGAGATGTTTCTCTTTTTTAATGTTAGTGTGTATCGCTATAAAGTTCACATAGAAAAATGGAACAAAATGGAGACCCCAGAAATAAACCCACACACATATGGTTAATAATTAATTTTTACAAATGAATCAGGAATACACAATGGGGAAATGATAGACTGTCCAATAAGTAGGTTGGCAAAACTGGATATCCACATTCAAAAAAAATGAAATTGAATGCTTCTCTTACACTATACTTGAAAATTAATTTAAAATGGATTAAAGACTTAAATATAAAACCTGAAAACATAATACTGCTAGATGAAAATGTAGGGGATAATCTCCTTTACATTGGCCTCAGCAATAATATTTTAGATTTGACCTCAAAAACACAGCCAATAAAAGCAAAAATTAAACAAGTGGACTACATCAAACTAAAAAACATTTTGCATATAAGAGACAACAATCGACAAAATGAATAGACAACCTATGAAATGGGAATGGGAAAAATATTTGTAAATCATATGTCCAGCAAGTAATTTAATATCTAAAATTAAACAGGGGCAAAAAGTCTTAATAGACGTTGTCCCAAAGACATACAAATGTCCATCAGGTATATGAAATGATGTTCAACTTCACTAATCACCAGGGAAATGCGAACTAACACCAAAATGAAATACTACCTTGCACCTGCTAGAATGGCTAATCAAAACCTAAAAGATAAATGTTGCTGAGAATGGAAAGAAAAGGGAAGTCTTTTACAGGCAGACTGTAGATTGGTACCGCCATTATGGAAAACAGTATGGATATTCCTCAAAAGGTTAAAAATAGATTTTCTGTTTGATGCCGTAATCTTACTTCTAGCTGTGTATGCAAAGGAAATAAAACCACAATCTTGCAGAGACACGTGAATTCCCCTGGGAGCATTATTCAATTAGCCAAGCTGTAGAAACAATGTAAATATCTATCAACAGATGAGTTGACAAAGAAAACATTGGTATACTTCCACCATGAAACATTATTGAGCCATAAAAAAGAAGAAAACCCCACCATTTGCAAGAACACGGCTGAAATTCGAGGGGATTATGCCAAGTGAAGTGAGCCAGACACAGAAAGATAAATAGCGCATAATCTCACTTATGTGTGGAATCTTAAAAAAGAAATTGGACTCATAATAATGAAGAATAGAATGGCATTTACCATGGAAATGGAGGGCTTGGGGGAAAGCGGAGACATTGGACAAAGGGTACAAATCTTCAGCTACAACCTAAATAACTACTGGAGACCTACTGTCAGCCTGGCGATTACAGTTAATAATAACATATTGCATGTTTGTAATTTGCTAAGAGCAGATCTGAAGTGTTCTCATGGCACATACAAAAAGGTAATTATGTGAGGCGATGGATGTGTTTATTAGATTATGCTAATCACTTCACAACTTATACATATATTAAAATGGCAAGTCATACACCCCAAATGTATTCAATTGTCATCTGATTTCTTAAGAAAATTATAAAATTATATAACTATATAAAAGATGGCAATAGAAAAAATAGTTATGCTTGGTACATTCTTTCCTAAAGGCCTTAGTGTATGACTTTCAAAGATTACGTAAGTTTTGTTTTTGTTTTGTAATAGTTAATAAGAAAAGAGGGGATGTAGAAGATTTCTCAAGTTAATTTCAAGAAAAGTAATTTCTTTATACCTGAAAGTGCAATATATTTGATTATCCAACTTGTAAACACAATTTTAAGATATATTTACTTTCAAAAGTAAAAGTAAAAAATGCCTCTAAAGTCTAATTTTAAATTAAAATTTAGTCAAAATAGTTTTGATTATATTTTTTCCAACTGTGCTAGGTAAAGTATATGAGGATGATGCAAAGGGGAAAAAAACACATAAGCATCCAGAGCAATCTCAAACACAGGGAGCTCAGGAAAACAAACCATGCATTTAAAATATTCAGAATGCTTTGCAGTGTTTATTTATCGTAGGAGCCACAGCTCTTCAAATCTAATGATGAATCAGGTGACCAACCACCAGGAACACTAATCTTTAATCAACCCATATTTGAAGCATGAAATTCCCACCCTAGGAAGATGATTAGTTAATTTAATGGCTGTAGAATTGTCAAATAGGAAATGTGTATAGAAGAGTAATTTAGAATGTTGCTGTCTGTTATTACTCTTACAATTTGAAGAGTAAAATGTCTCTTTATCTGGAACTTACATGATGATTTTTCCAACAAAATAATTTCCAAATAGATCACATAGAAAATGTCTCTTTTAATATACTTTACAGTAGTAAAACTATAACATCTCAATTGTTTTTTTTAAATAAATTTGAATAATGGTTTAGGTCATTTGATAAATATCACCTTGTAACTAATAAGATGAAACAAGGCTAAATAGGACCAATTAAGCACGTGATTTAAATATCGATATGTAGTGAGTAAAAGAGTAATCCAACTACCAGTAGAAGATTACTACATTTAGTACTATAACAAGTATAACACTGTTCCTAAAAAAAAGTGCTTTCTTATGTTTAAGATTTATTTTAATGTCAAACACAAATAATTAGATCTTTAAATGAACAATTTGGGAGTTAAATCCATTGCTTCTGATTTTTATAGATTTTATGGTCTAGGAAATCTATACTGTCTGATTTGATCCCATTTAACTGTAAGATTTTTACACATGTTGCACTCTACTAGCTGGCAGGAAAATTATTTTAATCGACTGAATGAAAGTATTATTTCATGTAAAAGTTTATTATATCAAGGAAATGATTTAGGTCAGAAGCTAGAATCTATATAAAGTCAGCTTTTGAAAATAAAGACAGACAAATCTTTTTTTACATTATTATAAAAGAGCTAAGTTGCAAACAACTATCCTTGAGACCAGACCATTTTTTTTTAAGCTGAAATTTTCTAATAATTGCAATGGCAAAACACCATTTGCAATTTCTTCCCTCCCACCTCCCAGGTGGTTCAACAATTCCACTTCCAAACAGCATTTCCCATCAGTTTTTAAAAGCTACTTACAAAGTGTTATTCTACTACCACTTTTAAATACATCAAGCACTTCCAAATATCTAGAAAGACTAGATATTTCATATAACTTGTCCACCACATACACATCACTGTTAAATAAAATTGCACACACATAACAATGGTTATCATCTGAGGTATCTTCTAAATGTGGCCATTTTGGCCTTGAATCATTCCCTCCTCCCTTCCTTCTCTGCCTTCAATCCAGTGGACAAGTACAGGCACATGTAATGCTTAGAGATGGTCGAACAAATTCCTATGCAAAAGTCTTTACAGAAGACAAGTTTTCCTATGAATTTTAACACAAAGCGTACAAAATATGCTAATTTTACTACTTTGTCATACACTGGCAACCTCTTTAACAACTAGAGACTAGATGTTGAAAAATTAGGACTATTTGTCCATTATATATACTATATACAGAGCAAAACAAAATGCACAAAACGTATAGAAAAATGGTGTCTGAAAATGTCCAAGTATGAACACACTAGTATATTACCTCTTGCAATTTCTTCCCTCCTACCTCCTCTAAACCATTGAACAAGTATACACATTACTATACTGCTCACAAAGGTGGCTTCACAATTCAATTTCCAAAAGCATTTCCTATGAATTTTAGCAAAAAGATATTTACAAAGTGGTATTTTACTACCTATACATTTAACATACATCGGGCACTTCTAAACATCTAGATAGACTAGATGTTTCAAGTAAGGAGTTAATTTGTCTACTATGTATACAGCAGTCTTGAATAAACTGCAAACATGTAACAACAGTTATAATTTGAAAGAGTCTTCCAAATGTGAACATTCTGGCCTAGAACCCTTCCCATCGCCATCAACCCAGAAGACATCAAATTTTCAGAAGACAATCTTTCCTAGGACTTGTAAAACAAAATGTACAAAATATATTAGTTTACTAACTCTACTTTTGTCATACACTGGCAACCTCTTTAACATCCAGAAAGACTAGATGTTGTCAATTAGGACTCGTCTGTCCTTTATGTACATTATATACACAGATAAGTAAAACAAAATGCACAGACATACATCTTGCCTCGCTGTAAACAGGATGGCATAGAGCTCTCTGCACCTCCCCCTCCTCTCTCCTCCCCTGAACCACTGCACAAACACAATGAGTATTACTCAACAGGTGATTTGACCATTCCCCCCAAAAAATATTTCCTATGAATTGTAACAAAAAGGTATTTACAAAATGTGATTTTGCTACCTCTAATTTTAACATATCAGGCACTTCAGAACATCTAAAAAGAAGAGACATTTCAAAAAAGCTTAGCATTGTCAACTATATACACAGTAGTGAGGAATAAAATGCACACAAAACAATGGATAGAATATGAAAATGTCTTCTAAATATGACCAGTCTAGCATAGAACCTTCTTCTCTTCCTTCTCAGGTCTTCCAGCTCCATGTCATCTAACCCACTTAACAAACGTGAACGTATCGCTTCCAGAGGCCGTCTTAACAATTCCATTTCCAAAAGTCATCTCCAGAAGACATGTATTTTCTACGATTTCTTTTAAACAAATGAGAATTTACAAGATGTGTAACTTTCTAACTCTTTTATCATAACTCGACAACCTCTTTCCATCTAGAAGGGCTAGATGTGACAAATGTTTTCTATTAAAAGGTTGGGGTGGAGTTGAGAGCAGCTTTTTCATATTATATACACAGGCCTTCCATAAACGGCCAGTAAATCTTCCCAGAGGGTGGTGGGCATTTCCAACTGGCCAAACGTGGCCTGTCATTCTACCATTTCTCTCTTCCGACAGCAAAGTCTGGTAGAATGAAGACCAACCGCCCGATGGCCGCTAACCGTTCCACCCGTCGTTGTTCGGGACTTCGCTCACCTTTCAGGCCCCTTAAGGCCTTTGTCCGTTGTCGTCAGGACTAGGTAGGTCTCGCCCAATGGCGACAGAGTGGTCACCCGGGAACCGGATCTGCGCGGCTCCGTGGCCGAAAGAGGCGGCCAAGCCTGCTTGCGTCCCTAGGCCGCCTTCCGGGCCGTCCACGCCTTAATGGCCTCCGCCGCGCGGCGTTCGAGCGGCCGCCATACTTCCCGGCCCACCACGCCCGGCGCCGCCCAAAGGCGCTGCGTCCTGGCGGCTCTGCGGGGGTTTCGTCGAGGCCCAGCAGGCTTGGGTCGGGAGACCCGGGTGCCGGCGGGGGCCGGGCTGGGAGACGCCACGGCCGCCATCAGTCACCGAGGTGGGGTGGGAAAGAGAGGTTCGCTGCGGCTTCAAGGTCTGAGCACAGCCAGTGGGCAGCCACAGCAGAGGCCTCCGGTGTCTGCAGGGCAGAGGGCTCGGCCTGTCCCGAGGCCCCCCAGTTCATCCGCCGGCCCGGGGCCAGAGGGCCCTGAAGGCGCGGGCTGCGTTCTGCGTCTCTCCGCGATCTCTGCCGGACCGGAACTAAGACCAGACCATTTTCTTCTGGAGTAAGTGTGACATAAAACTAATGTTACTAATTTTGTGGCTTTATATTTTGGCATTTAATCCTTTGCAAAATTTTAAACCATTGTGGAAACTGTGCAATAAATCTGGTCAACTTAAACTACTGAACTATTTCAATACATTATAATTAATGTCCGTAAAAATCTTCAATCATTTGGAGGTGGTAGTTTTTATTTGATACGGATAAGGGTATACTTTTAAAGAGTCTATTCTTTTTTTGATTAATTATTGCTAACTAATAAAATTGGAAGGTTTTGTTTTGTTTTCATTTGATTCCAGTTTCCTAACGTGATTTATTATGCTATTTATATAAGTGCAAACAATTATATGACAAGATTATATTTAGAATGCATGTATTAAAATATGAAAGTGATATTACTGAGTTTATTTGAAATGTCCCAACATATTGCCACTATTTATACTTCATACATGTTAAAATACCGACATTTTAAACTCATATTTTGAAAAGTTTCTTTCTTTTTTTTTTTTTTTGAGAGACAGCGTATCACTCTATCACCTAAGCTGGAGTGCAGTGCTGATCACAGTTCACTGCAGCCTTGACCTCCCTGGCTCAAGCAATTCTTACACCTCAGCCTCCTGAGTAGCTGGGGCTAGCAGTATGTGCCCATGCCTCGCTAATTTTTTTTTTTTTTTTTGTAGAGACGAGGTCTTGCTATGTTGCCTAGGATATTTAGAGGATATTTTTTGCTTTATAAAAGAAAGAGAAGGAGAAAAATAATTAGGCCCTCAACAACTTCTAAATTAAAATGAACACCTTACACCACTGAGAAACAAATGGGAAATCTTTGGCAGAGGATACATTATAATATTGAATTGAAATTAGAAATGAGTCATGTTTCTGTAACTATATGTTCAAGAGGTAAAAAATTAACATATTTTGTTTTACAAATTACTAATCAAAGTATTCAGCTTTGTAATATTAGAACAAACTATGTTGCTGAAATCCAATGTTCATAACATTAGGAAAACTGAGTTGCTTGTACTGTGTGTATCTGATTTAAAACTAACCTATTTTATTTGATTGTGGTGTGCAGGTATAATGTGACTAGTCTAATCACAATTTGGTTTTGCTTTTTTTTGCAATTGTATATAGATATTTACTTTAATATTTACTCTATCATTGAGTAGATTATTGGAGTATTTCTTCATACATTCCAAGCAATTGAACAATAAACAATTCTCAGAAAAAAAATGACTATTTTCAAGTGAGAGACTGATTTTTTTTCAATCTGTCACATGCAATCTTTGGGCTTCTTGTTTTTCTCCTACCACAATACCCACTTTTTTTATCCCAAACATTATTTGACTGACCAACTTTGTGAAGGGTAATTATTATGAGTGAGGTATTTAGAGTTCACTAGTTTAACTAGGAGGCTGGGGAGACATGGAGATGGGGTGACATGAGTGGTTGGAGCCAGATTGTGAAAACAGTGGCTCTCTCACTGAATTGTACCCCAAAGACAGATGTAGAAATATAACATACAACCCAGACTTTTTCTCACTGTCTATGGAGACACAACCAGTTAACTAGTAAGTTTACAAAGAGCAATGATGGGGTTTCTAACAACATTACCATTGTGAAATAAAGATAAACTAAAGCTGTAATGGGTAAATGAGCAGCAGTCTCATTAGTGGACTTACTAGCTTGACTATTGCGGTTTGCACAGCGAGCTGGTTTTGTCTGCATTTAGAAAAGATGAAGAAGTGGTCTTGTTTCATCTCCCTTCATCACAACCTCCATAAACCAGCTCTTAACAATTTGAACAGATTTTAAAATGTTGAGACATAATGATAACCTGTACATTCTAATTCCATTTGTTGCCAAAAAGAAGCATTTACTTACGCTCAGTTTTCCCCTCTCAGTTGAACTTTAGATAGTGTCCCTTGTTTGTTTGTGCTGATGTGTGTGTATGTGCTTGACACATGGGTTTTGTGAAGAATAATATTAGGTGTTGACTTGATTGGATTGTAGAGATCCAGAAGGCTGGTAATGCATTGTTTCTGGGTGTGTTTATGAGGATGTTGCCAAAGGAGACTGACATTTGAATTGGTGGACTGGGAGAGGAAGACCCAACTTCAATGTGGGTGGACAGCATCCAATCATCTGCCAGCCCTGCTAGAACAAGCAGGTGGAGAGAGGTGGGATCACTTTGCTTCACTAAGTCTTCTGGCTGTCTCTTTCTTCTTTCTGTGCCTGATGTTTGCTTCTGCTTCTCTTGACCTTGGACATCAGACTCCAGGTTCTTCGGCCTTTGGACTCTGGGAAGCACCAGTGGTTTCCCCAGGGCTCCCTGGTCTTCCACCGCAGACTGAAGGCTGAAATGTCAGTTTCCCTAGTTTTTAGGCTTTCAGACTTGGTCTGAGACACTACTACTGGCTTTTCTGTTTCCTCAGCTTGCAGATGGCCTACTGTGAGACTTTGCCTTGTAATCATGTGAGACAATTCTCCCTAATAAACCATCTTTTGTATATACATATTTTCTATTGGTTCTGTCCCTCTGGAGAACCTCAACAAAAACAGGTGTGTGTGTGTGTGTGTGTGTTGTGAATCTTTTTCTAACAATTTGCCATTATCTTTTGGTTTCCCCTTCTCCACTTGAGTTTTGGCCTCCAGGATGAACTACAGGCTAAATGTGTAGATGCCTCCTTTTTCCATTGGGTCACTTACATCTTTCCTATGAGTGGGTTCTACAGGAATCCTAAAGAAGCTTCCATACTTTCTAGTTCCCTGACTGGAGAGATGCCTTCTGGGACAGCTTTTCCAAACTGCCTCTCAGCTGCCCTGGTAGGTTGTCCAGTCCTATTGCTTCGTGTTGCTGAATACCTCTCTCTAGCAATCAACTTTTGTAGCAACGTGGCACAAACTCAAGTATACTCAAGGCTCATGGAGGACTCACAGCTTTGCCCCAAATACTGACAGTACATGTTTCTCCCCTACTTCAACTCTCTGTTGCAATGCTGTAATGCTTGCCAACCCCATTCCCTTTTTAAAAAAATCTTATCAAAAAGAAATAAACTGGTTATGCTGACATTCAGCATTCATCCTAGGTGTGATTACCATGAAAACAGTTCACTTGGTTTTTATGGATGGTCAAAGCCACCACATGGTAGAAAAGACAGGGGAAGGAACACATTCTTTTCTTGGCATACTAACAATTCTCTCCATTTTATTTCTGACATTTTTCTTTCTCTTTAATACACATTGTGTACATTTATTTATATTAATCTCTTTCTATATTTATCTATATATAAACCTATATCTATATATCTATTTTAGATGTTAATATAAATGTAGATAGATATGTTACATATGATACATATATCTATATAGATATGATGTGTCATATATATCTCTATATATTTGCAGTATATAAACATAAATAGACATTGATATAAGTATATAGATATAGATGTATATATTATATATGCTATATTTATATATATGAAAATGAGAGAAATGAGAAATATGCTACAAGTTGAATATCCTGTATATGAAATTCTTACGGTCAGCAGTGTTTTGAATTTCAGATGTTTTTGTTTTGAAATACTTTCATTATACTTACTGATTATCCTTATTCCAAATTTCCAAAATCCAAAATTCTCCAGTGCGCATTTCTTTGATTGTGACATTTGTGTTCAAAAAGGTTTAGATTTGGCCAGGCGCGGTGGCTCACGCCTGTAATCCCAGCACTTTGGGAGGCCGAGGCAGGTGGATCACGATGTCAGGAGATCGAGACCATCCTAGCTAACACGGTGAAACCCCGTCTCTACTAAAAATACAAAAAAATTAGCCAGGCATGGTGGCAGGCCCCTGTAGTCCCAGCTACTTGGGAGGCTGAGGCAGGAGAGTGGCGTGAAGTTGGGAGGCAGAACTTACAGTGAGCTGAGATCATGCCACTGCACTCCAGCCTGGGCAACAGACCAAGACTCCGTCTCAAAAAAAAAAAAAAAAAATTTAGATTTGGAGCACTATGAATGTTTGGATTTGGGATGCTCAACCTGTATTTTGTGATAGTGATTGTTATTGCTCTTAGTAAGTCCTGCAGGGATGAGTCTTATACTTCCTCCTCTTCTATCTTTAGAAGGTGAAGCTACTTAAAATTTATTATTCTTAGTTTTAGTACTTTATTCACTATTCTAGAAAAAGAGGTACAATTCTACTTAGTAGGTAATGTTACTATTTTCCCAGTCAAGGAGTTTCAAATGTTTCTATGTCATTCCCTCATGATGGCATTATCTGAACTATAATTGAATCTTCTTTTTTCCCTTAATATAAGCTTCTATCTATACCCTACTCATCATATTTCTTAAAGTGATTGTCTCTTCCCTGCATTATTGTAGTTTTTATTATTTTTCCCACATCTAGTAGCACTCAGTTTGTGAACATTGGTTCATTATATTTTCAAAAATTACACCTCTGTTTGTATTACAGTCACATGCTGCAAAACAATGTTTCAGTGGATATCAGACTGAATATAAATTGTGGTCCCCTAAGATTAAAGTAGACTTTTATTATATAGGTGTATATATAGGTGTACTATTTTTAATCCTTTATAGCATCTTTTACTGTATTTTTATATGTTTAGATACACAGATATTATTGTGTTACAATTACCTACAGTGTTCAGTACAGTAATATGCTGTACAGGATTATAGCCTAGGAGCAATAGGTTTTACTATCTTGCCTAAGTGTGTAGTAGGTTGTACCATCTAAGTTTGTGTAAGCACGCTCTAAGGAGTTCACACAATGACAAAATTGCCTAACCAGTAATAAAATGATGCATGACTGTATATTTATCTCCATAATAATGAAAGACATTTTACTTGCATTCAAAATGAATTATAAATTGGTACACCCTCCCACGATCCAAAGTCAAACCACTCTTCTTCCTAGAATGCAAACATAAAATTCATTCCTAAACATGCTCCTGCTTTCTAATCTGATACACTTTTGCTATTTATTTGTTATTTTTATTATTTCCTCTGCCCGTGTCCACTTCGTATTTTGTTTTCTATTAATACATTATCCACCATTCCAAATCCATCACAAATTTCACATCCTACAGCTTTGAAATGATCTCACATTTCCCCTTAAATATGGCAGTTAGTGCCTCTAATAGGACATTATGTTACGCCATACAGAATCATTATGTTTGTCCCTCTTTTATTTCTCAACTAGAGTACAGGTTTTTTTTAGAAACATTCAGTGTTATGTCTCTAGGCTTGTCCAGACACTAACCTTTATTTTCATAAACTATCAAAGAATAATTTAAATTAATGAAAACTGGAACTGTATTTTCTTTACGTATGTGAAATGCTAAAGAATATGTATTTCCATTTTGACGAACAGTTGTCTCCCTTCCAATTTGGGATGGTTTCTCTAAAATTATTTTTATCATTTATAAGTATATTATTGCATATTGATATGTCACATCTAAGAGAAGGAAGTTAGAAAGTTGCTGTCAGCAGAAGCTTGTCCAACTTTTAATTATCTTCTCCTAGTTACAGATAGAAATGCTAAACGGTTAACAATTTGTGAAAAAGACTATATCAGCAGCAATGTTAGTTTTTCATATCATGTCCTAAGAAAGGTTTTAATTTTGGAAAACAAAAGAGTAAATTAATTTTCCAAATAAAATTAAAATAATATTCAGAAACCAAAACAAGTGTTAGTTAACACTTTGGGAATAATATTCCCTTCACATGCATTTTATATAATTATACATGAATATGATATAATATGGCAGATATATCTATCAAATAAGTTATTATAGCTTTTTTCTATTGTGCAAATCAGCATGATGAACATAGATATGCTCCAGTGGAAATAAATATACAAACCTTAGTAATGTGAGATGTGTGGAATGTGAGAGAGAGAGAGAGAGAGACTGGAGCATAGACGGTTACAAATTATCTGGAGAAAACATCCTAGGGCCTTTACTGGGGTCTCATTTGTTTGTTTGATTGATTTTTAAGTGATCATTTTTAATCGAAAAAATTATATATATTTATTATGTGAAGCATGATGTTTTGAAACATGTATGCCTTATAAATGATTAAATTCAACTAATTAACATATACACTACATTACATACTTAACAGTTTTTGTGGTGTCAACACTTAAGATCTCTCTTAATGATTTTCAAGATTACAATACACTGTTATTTACTATATTCACCATGTTGTACAATAGATTTCTTGAACTTATTCTTTTGTGTAACTGAAATATTGTATTCTTTGACCAACATCTCCCCAGTTTCCCACCTATAGCCCCAGGTAACCACCATTCTACTCCGCTTCTATGAGTTTGACTTTTCAGATTCCACATATCAGTGAGATCATACAGTATTTCTATTTCTGTTCCTGCCTTATTTCATTTAGTGTAATGTCCCCAGATCCATGTATGTTATTGCAAATGACAGGATTTCCTTCTTTTGCTTTTTTAAGACTGAAGAGCATTTCATTGTGCATGTATATTACATTTTCTTTCTTTGTATGTATGTATGTATGTATGTATGTATGTATGTATGTATTTCAGAGGGAGTCTCACTCTGTCACCCAGGCTGGAGTGCAGTGGTGCAGTTTTGGTTCACTGCAACCTTTGCCTCCCGGGTTCAAGTGATTCTCCTGCCTCAGCCTCCCGAGTAGCTGGGACTACAGGCGCGTGCCACCACACCAGGCTAATTTTTTTATTTTTAGTAGAGACGGGGTTTTGCCATGTTGGCCAGGCTGGTCTCAAACTCCTGACCTCAGGTGATCCACCTACCTTGGCCTCCCAAAGTGCTGGAATTACAGGCATGAGCCATGGCGCCTGGCCCACATTTTCTTTATTCATTCATTTGTTGTTGGTCTTTTGGTTGATTACATAACTTGGCTATTGTAAATAATGCTACAAATGAACATAGGAGTGCAGATACTTCTTGGAAATGCTGATTTAATTTTTTATGGATATACACCCAGAAATGAGATTGCTGGATCATATGATAGTTCAATTTTGAAATTTTGAGGAGCACCCTTATTGTTTTTCATAATGGGTGTACCAATTTATCTTCCCCCCAACAGTGTGCAAGGTTTCCCCTTTCACCATATTTTCTTCAACATCTGTCACTTTCTATTTTTAATAATAGTGATCCTAACAGATTTGAGAGGTTCTCTCATTGTAGATTTAATTTGCATTTCCCTGCTGGTTAGAGATATTGAGCATTTTTTCATATACCTATTGACCATTTGTAGGGTTTTGCATTAAGAACTTGATTGATAAAGAGTAGAAACAATAGCCTCGGAGAATACCAGAAAAAAATTGTTATATTCCAGTTAGGGAGAAATTTCAATGTGAGAGAAATACCAAAAACAAAAGCTCCAAAAAGGGCACAGAGAATTCATATATTTAACTTGAATTGTATAAACTGTAAAGAATCATCAAAAAACAGCTAATGACCAGGACACAATTAATTTTAACTGATTTTTGGAAACGTTACAGATGAGAAATGTTATTAATCCATCTAAACTACAGATACAAATAATTAATTCCTCTCCCAAATCATATTGTGTCCGGAATTGGTGGGTTCTTGGTCTCACTGACCTTAAGAATGAAGCCGCGGACCCTCGCGGTGAGTGTTATAGCTCTTAAGGTGGCGCGTCTGGAGTTTGTTCCTTCTGATGTTTAGATGTGTTCGGAGTTTCTTCCTTCTGGTAGTTTCGTGGTCTCGCTGACTCAGGAGTGAAGCTGCAGACCTTGGCAGTGAGGGTTAACAGCTCTTAAGGCAGAGCGTCTGGAGTTGTTCGTTCCTCCTGGTGGGCTCCTGGTCTTGCTGGGCTCAGAAGTGAAGCTGCAGATCTTCCAGTGAGTGTTACAGCTCATAAAAGCAGCGTGGACCCAAAGAGTGAGCAGTAGCAAGATTTATTGCAAAG
Organism: Homo sapiens; assembly: GCF_000001405.40. Classification (NCBI taxonomy): domain Eukaryota; kingdom Metazoa; phylum Chordata; class Mammalia; order Primates; family Hominidae; genus Homo; species Homo sapiens. The sequence continues at coordinate 25,198,982 of NC_000005.10, forward strand.
AGCAAAAGGACAAACCCTCCACAGTGTGGAAGGGGACCGGAGCGGGTTGCCAATGCTGTCTCGGGCAGCCTGCTTTTATTTTTTTATTTGGCCCCACCCACATCCTGCTGATTGGTAGAGCCCAGTGGCCTGTTTTGACAGGGTGCTGATTGGTGCCTTTACAATCCCTGAGCTAGACATAAAGGTTCTCCAAGGCCCCACCAGAGCAGCTAGATACAGTGTCGATTGGTGCACTCACAAACCCTGAGCTAGACACAGGGTGCTGATTGGTGTGTTTACAAACCTTGAGCTAGATACAGAGTGCCGATTGGTGTATTTACAATCCCTGAGCTAGACATAAAGGTTCTCCAAGGCCCCACCAGAGCAGCTAGATACAGAGAGTCGATTGGTGCATTCACAAACCTTGAGCTAAACACAGGGTGCTGATTGGTGTGTTTACAAACCTTGAGCCAGATACAGAGTGCCGATTGGTGTATTTACAATCCCTGAGCTAGACATAAAGGTTCTCCAAGGCCCCACCAGAGTAGTTAGATACAGAGTGTCGATTGGTGCACTCACAAACCCTGGGCTAGACACAGGGTGCTGATTGGTGCACTCACAAACCCTGAGCTAGACACAGGGTGCTGATTGGTGTGTTTACAATCCCTGAGCTAGACATAAAGGTTCTCCAAGGTCCTACCAGAGCAGCTAGATACAGAGTGTCAATTGGTGCACTCACAAACCTTGAGCTAAACACAGGGTGCTGATTGGTGTGTTTACAAACCTTGAGCTAGATACAGAGTGCTGATTGGTGTATTTACAATCCCTGAGCTAGACATAAAGGGTCTCCGAGGCCCCACCAGAGCAGCTAGATACAGAGTATCGGTTGGTGCACTCACAAACCCTGAGCTGGACACAGGGTGCTGATTGGTGTGTTTACAATCCCTGAGCTAGATATAAAGACGTCCCCACCAGACTCAGGAGCCCAGCTGGCTTCACCCAGTGGATCCCACAGAGGGGCTGCAGGTGGAGCTGCCTGCCAGTCCTGCGCCATGCGCTGGCACTCCTCAGCCCTTGGGCGGTCGATGGGACTGGGTGCCGTGGAGCAGGGGGGTGGCATTCGTCGGGGAGGCTCGGGCTGCGCAGGAACCCACGGAGGCGGGGGAAAGGCTCAGGCATGGCAGGCTGCAGTCCCGAGGCCTGTCCCACGGGAAGGCAGCTAAGGCCCGGCGAGAAATCGAGCGCAGCGCCAGTGGGCTGGCACTGCTGGGGGACCCAGTACACCCTCCGCAGCTGCTGGCTCGGGTGCGAAGTCCCTCATTGACCGGGGCCAGAAGGGCTGGCCGACTGCTCTGAGTGCGGGCCCGCCAAGCCCACGCCCACCCGGAACTCCAGCTGGCCCGCAAGCGCCGCACGCAGCCCCGGTTCCCGCTCGCGCCTCTCCCTCCACACCTCCCTGCAAGCTGAGGGAGTGGGCTCCAGCCTTGGCCAGCCCAGAAAGGAGCTCCCACAGTGCAGTGGTGTGCTGAAGGGCACCTCAAGTGCCGCCAAAGTGGGAGCCCAGGCAGAGGAGGTGCCGAGAGCAAGCGAGGGCTCTGAGGATTGCCAGCACGCTGTCACCTCTCAATATCACAGTTGGGAACTGCAGATGATTCAATTGTATTCGTACTCACTCTCAGCGAAATCTCAGTACTGTTACAGTGAATCCAGTCTTCCCTCTATTTCATCCATTTCTTTGGACCCAAAGATCTCACACTCTTTTCACATTTTCTGCTCTGTTTTCTTTTTTACCAATTCCATTCTTAACATATTTTATTTTCTCAGCTGATAGTGTAGTTTTCTTCTACCCTCAGAAAAATACCGCTGCATATGCATAGGTTGCGGTAGATTGTGGGAAGAATTCCAACGTAAATACTGAAAGCGTGGTAAAGTAGCTCTTTCCATTTATATATTAATCCCTTTGTTTCAAGGGGTTCTGGAATATGTCTCCATATGCCATGTTGGAAATAATTTATGTAACATTACACTGTGCCTCCTTCAAGTTCCCTTATCTGGAGGTAAAGGAACCAGGAACTAGGATGTAATTCAGCTTCCAGACTATTTTCTACATATGAATTACTTGCATAAAGTGATGTCCTAAGATCAATGCATGTAGGTCCGCCTTGTAACTGCTTGTCAGTTACCTTCATGCAAAGGAATGTAACTTGCATGGCAGCCAGGACTGCATATCTTTAATCATTAAAATCCTAGTTTTAAAAATTCTGCTGTGATTATTCGGGTTTTGGGAAATTACGTTTACCCTTGTTAATATGTATGTATATGGAGAATTACACATTATTTTATCATAGCTTTTTAGTCTCTTTATAGATAATTTTTCTTATTTTCTAAGAAATTATATATCTGAGTATATTATATAATATTTGTGTAAAATACATAGGGAGATCCCCACAAACAATATACACTAACACATGCACAATTATTGTTTTATCTGGCAGTTATAAAACATTGGTTACCTAATTCGCAGGCAAATGCAGGGAATATCAGTGAATTTAACCGACATATAAAGATACTATATATATCAGGATTATTTTATAAGACGCACTACTTCGTATGATTTTGCTTAAGAGCTTATTGCTAAAACGTTAGCACATTTTTATCTCTTTTTAATTTGCTTAGATCATTATATTATAGGCCTGCAGGCTGCCTAGGTTGCTGAGGTCAACCCAAGGATCGGATTATGCTGCTGTTGTCAGCACTTCAGTTTCCACTGAGATCATTCAGTTCAATCTCATATTTAACCTTTGACTTCAAGCTTATCTTCATCCAAAATGCTTTGCAGACACTTTGAAATAACACATCATTTACATATCATTGCCCCAGTACAAGCCAAAACCATAGCTATCAGGATGTAACAGCAGTGTGAGTTTTACTTCAAGGACACAGGATGATGTTTCTTCTGAGCAAATTAAAAAAGAGAGTTGTCTAATGGACCCAGGGACATTTAAGACACCAGAATAAATATGATAAAATCTTGAATAAAAAGTTCTATTTTAATAAGAAGTGAATAGCTAATAAGAAAATTGAATTGAATATCCTGATATTCATTATTACTACATTATATGAAATAGCACAGTAATGATTTCATCTTTATAAAAATCAATAGTTACATTCCATCTCTTTAAACATTAATATTTTATGAAAGGTTTAATGTTTTGGATGTTCACCACAGAAGACAATGTTATTTGCTGATGGATAGTGAAGAAATACTTTAGCACATTAAATAACTTACCAATTGTTTCAAATATGTTAATAGTGATGTTATGAACTGAAAATATCTTTATGCTATTACTAATGTGTTTATGTTTAAGATGCTTCTAATTTTACTGTAAACAATGTAATCTGTATAAGATGGCTAATTAGAAAAAATATCCCAATTATTCTTCTCCTACTTATGTTGAATTGTTGAATTAAAAATAATCAATTTATTTTGGATTGAATATGTAAAGATATAAATGGCACCGACTGGTTCTTTCTTCTGCCATATTTACAAAGTTTATGTATATCCCCCCCAGAAAACAAATACACAAGATTCTAATAGTATTTTCTATAGAAATTAGTCATTCTGGATTTTTATTCTGTGGGTAATAGTTTGCTTAGAAATAACAATATTTACTAATTTTAAACAAAACACATTAAATGACAATATTGGGTATATTTTCTCCTAAAGCTATATAGATATATTTAAATTTTAATCACTTGGATCATAGGATCTAATGACCATATTACTTCCATGATAATGTTTTGCATTACTTCTTAATAAAAATTTTAAGTAAATTTTATTTTTTAGAATTGTTTTTAATTTAAGGAATTGTGAAGAGAGTGCAGACAGTTCTAATATACCCAATTCTCTACCCTTTTTCCCTCTGTTATTAACATCTTATATCAATATGGTATATTCATTCTTATTAATGAACAAAAGTTAATACATTATTACTGACTAACCACATTTTATTCAGGTTTTTTTGGTTTTTACCTATAGTCCATTTCTGTTCCAAGATTCTATCTAGGGTATGACATTATTTTGTGGTGTTCTGTCTCCTTAGGCTCCTCTCCTCTTGATAGTTTCTCAGATTTTTCTCATTTTTGTTGACTTTGATAGTTTTGAAACATACTGGCAGGTGCTTTGTAGAGTGCCCCTCTGTTGAGATTTGTCTGGTATTTTATTTATGATTAGACTGGAGTTATGCATGTTGGGAAAGGAAGATAACAGGGTTAATGCCATTCTCATCACATCATAGCAAGGTTACTTACTATCAACATAAGTTTTCACTGTTGATGTTGATCCTATTCACATGGCTGAGGCAGATGAATATTATATGTTACATATAATTATTATATGTATTATATTTACATATGTAATTATTATATGTAATATATAATATAGAATATATAGTATGCATAGTATTATATATTATATATTATAGTATATGTGTAACATACAGTGTATATTATATATTGTATATGTGTAACATGGTGTATATTATATATTATAGTATATGTGTAACATATAGTGTATATTATATATTATAGTATATGTGTAACATATAGTGTATATATTATAGTATATGTGTAACATATAGTGTATATTATAATTTTATTATATTTATGCTGCACAAATACATATTTTTATATTAGTATATAATATATTATATAATTATATAACATATATTACATCCAATATATTAATATTTATATAACATACAGGTCATATATCTAATATATTACACATATAATATATAACATATACAATATGTTATATATAACATTTTTATGTTCTATATATTATATATACTATATTCTATATATAATATATACTATGTTATATATAGTATATATGTTACATTATATAATACATAACAGTATAAAAATATAGGAATGTATTTTTACATGAGATATATTTATTTCTCTAATATCAAATTAAAATTAACATCAGATTAATTAATACAGATTCATATATAATATCCTATAATTTTTTTCTTCCTTGTTACATCTTTTTGCCTTTGAAATATCCTTGCATTTTTCCTCACATTTATATTTAATTAATAAACACACAGCTTTTAATTTTCAATTGTATTGTGTTTTTTACTACTTTTTTTTACATTTCTTACTTGATTAATTATAATTTATTAATCAATATTATTTAATTGTGTTAAATTTATTTATCAACTCATACAGAAGGAATATGAGTATAAATTTAACTCTAAATGCAACTCTAAAGACATTTTAAACATCGATAAATGGTAATGTCTTTTTACATATTAATAGTAAATTTTAGTTGCAAATCTAACTGTGGAAGAAAAATTTGGAAGCTAACTATTTCATATATTAGGGTTTTTAAAAATTTTAATATTATCACATTGTTCACAAATATTCAAATTGCTTTTTCTTTACTGAAGTATGCATTTTTCCTTATTTTCTTAAGGTATTATAATTTTAATGGCTTATATTAATTTGTAAATATGTTTCTATGCAGAGACCAATATAAAAACATATATACCATCAGCTGTGTTTGTGTGTGTGCAGTTACATATACAGAGAAACTCAATAAATCAAGATAATTATATTTTTCAAATAATATAGATCAGTGTTAATTTGTCAACTTGGTTTTTCAAACACTAGGAAAACTCTTTTAATGAGAAGTAATTCATATCCTCTGAGAGCATTCAGTATTTTTTTAAATATCTACATGTCTATATTTATATATGTTGAGTATATATATATGCATATATAAATGTATATTACTTTTATATATATTAGAAATCATTTTAAGTAAGTAGCACATGAACAGTTTAAACTTACAGTTCAAAGACAGATTATGTATTTTGCTAATACCACAAAACCCATTTTGTCTCTTGAGGATTTCCCTTTAATTCCACTTTGAGATCATCATTACTATTATTTAATACAGCTATGAGTGATAGAACTTGTGAAAGATGAGAATATGATTTTAGTTTTGCTTTTAGATTCCTGTTGAGGTAGATTATACAAGAAAGATGATTAAATTTAAGTATCAATAATCTATTTCAAAAGAAGTAGACTTCAAAAAGTATATGATGCAGAAAAACTTAGATTTTTTTTCCAGACAAAGAGTAATTTTTCTATTAATAGTTACTCTTGAGGAAAGTGTAAATTTATAAACAAATAATTAGATAACGAAATAAATAAATCCATAAGTACGAACAAATAAAGAATTGTGGTATGCATACACACACACTCTGTTTACTTTTTTTTCCCTAACCATACTACCCAACTAATCCTGTATACGTTTTTCACATTTTCTTATATATCTAATTTATGCTTTCAGAAATTAAATAATATGCTTTATTTCTAGTAGTCATATAATTTTACCTTAAAAATTTTTTACTTATTTGATTTGTTTTATAATGATAAAATGTTTTGCAACAATTTGAACAATTTGAAATAAAGAAAAAGTCAGTTTACCTTGGTGCGTGTCTTTGTGAGATACTGATTACAGATTGCTCATTAAATCATAGATAAAAGGAGACACATATTCAATATGTTGCATGTTTATTTCTCAAATGGAATCATGATGTATATACAGAGATTATTATTTTTAATACGTAAAGCTAAATTAAATAGCCATGAAACATTCTATTACTACAGTGAATACCTACACACTTAGAATACAAATAAAGAATAAAACATTATTTGTGTTGTTGAAGCCACCTGGATTACTCTCTCTGGTTGCACATATGTTCTTTCTTTCAGAGTTAGTCACTGTCTTGAATTTGTTTGTTGAGTCTCATACACTTTCCTATACATTTATTATGTGGTAGTTTTACTAAATAATCTATGTATTATTTGCTTCTTTTATTCTGTATGTAAGTCATGTCATATGGATATACAGTATTTTCAGGAATGTTGCTTTCTAAAATCTACATTATGTTTTAATAATATATCCTTTGCCTAACAGACCTATAATAGCCTCACTTGAGCTGTTGATTTGTAAGGCAATACTGATTCACATTAAGATCTACCCCTCAGTCTCATGTCACTAGATTCACATTTCAGCCAGCCCCACAAAGGAAGTTAGGTATTGTGATTCATGAGTTGTAGCATACATGCCAGTAATTACAAAATAATAAACAGAAATCTGGGAATAATCATGAGAAACAATCTTATAGGTGCCAATTTAGGGTGAAAGGGATGATGTAATGTTGGATCAGGTTGAAAATATTGACAGAAAAATACTAAATAAAAAATATATATATATGGGTTCAGTCTATTAACCTAGGAGCTGGCAGCAGCTCTAATAATTAGTTGGTTGACTGAAATCTAAACCCAACCATAATCTCCATTAAAATTCAGGTATTAGAGCAAGCTTAGTGTACCACAGAAGGAAGTTTTAGGTTTAGGGATATGAAATGCTGAAGTAGATTTATTATGTTAAATCTACTCACTTATTACTAATTAAATCCCAGAGGGTACATAATATATTGCCTTTATTCAGGCTTTGGGAAATGCATTGGTAAGATAAGAACCAGTATCTTTCTAAGTCTTTATGGTGGTCTGCAGGCCAACCTCACTGACAATGGATACGGATATATATCCAGTTAATGGTGAAAGACTGAAGAGTTTTAACAACATTCTACTCTACTAGAAGTACAAGATATTTGGTAAAGGGATTCAAATATTAACATCAAATAATGTGAGCATGCATTCTTCTCTAGTTAGATTTTTGTTTGCTTTAATTTTCTAATTTACAGAAATATATATTTATGGGTTGCATAGTGACATTTTGATACATATAATGTATAGTGATTAGATCAGGGTGAATAGCATATCCATCATCTCAAACATTTATCATTTCTTTGTGTTGGAAATCTCCAATACCCTTCTTCTAGCCATTGGAAATTATGTATTATTGTTAACTATAGTCATCCTACAGACTTATGGAACCAGAACTTATTCCCCCATCTAGCTATAATTTTGTATTCTTTAACAAATCTCTCGATGTATCTGATTTGGGGAGGTAATTTTCTTTTTATCCATCTAAAAGCTGTAGCTTTTCAACCTTCGGTAGAAGTTTTTGCCATCAGTTTCCCACCTGCTTCCACTAAGGTAATGTTGTATTATTTGTTTTAACCCTCACACTTGTTACTTCCATTCCTAGAGGACAGAATCCTTAGAGCAGAATTTTTTGGCATGAACTATTCTGCCTTTTTGTTTGTTTTCATTTTTATTTTTATTTTTATTTTTTTATTTTTATTTTATTTTTTTATTATTATTATACTTTAAGTTTTAGGGTACATGTGCACATTGTGCAGGTTAGGTACATATGTATACATGTGCCATGCTGGTGCGCTGCACCCACTAACTCGTCATCTAGCATTAGGTATATCTCCCAATGCTATCCCTCCCCCCTCCCCCTACCCCACAACAGTCCCCAGAGTGTGATGTTCCCCTTCCTGTGTCCATGTGATCTCATTGTTCAATTCCCACCTATGAGTGAGAATATGCAGTGTTTGGTTTTTTGTTCTTGCGATAGTTTACTGAGAATGATGATTTCCAATTTCATCCATGTCCCTACAAAGGACATGAACTCATCATTTTTTATGGCTGCATAGTATTCCATGGTGTATATGTGCCACATTTTCTTAATCCAGTCTATCATTGTTGGACATTTGGGTTGGTTCCAAGTCTTTGCTATTGTGAATAATGCCGCAATAAACATACATGTGCATGTGTCTTTATAGCAGCATGATTTATAGTCCTTTGGGTATATACCCAGTAATGGGATGGCTGGGTCAAATGGTATTTCTAGTTCTAGATCCCTGAGGAATCGCCACACTGACTTCCACAATGGTTGAACTAGTTTACAGTCCCACCAACAGTGTAAAAGTGTTCCTATTTCTCCACATCCTCTCCAGCACCTGTTGTTTCCTGACTTTTTAATGATTGCCATTGTTTTCATTTTTAATTTAATAGAATTTCAAGACTGTGGTGCATTTTTGCTTTTGTTTCCCCAAAATGGTTGTAGCAATTCATGTTTCTACCAGTAACACAAAAGACAGTTCTTTACTGGATGATACATTTCTGACAACAGTCTGATTGGTTATACACACATACACACATACCCACACATTCACATACACACATAAATACTTAAATATATATATATGTGTGTGTGTTTGTGTGTGTGTGTCAATATCTACATTTTTGTTTTGCTCTCCATGACTTCGAATGAATTTTGCTGTTTATGTGTTTATGCTCCTTTTAGCATTTTGATATGCTTGAGAAGCAGACCATTACTTTTTGTTCTACTTGAGTGGTTTTAAGTGAATTATAGAAACTTCTATATATTCCTCTTTATTTGATGCATTCATTTTTCTTTTATTCCCCTAATTGAACTATGTCTACTTATTATGATACCTTATTTCCATACAAAAACTTTATTTTTGTATTATCAAATATTTTGCTTTCTATTATATAACTCAAGTAATTAAAATCTTTACTATTAGAATATTCCTCTAATTTCAGTTTTATATGTATTCTGCTTGGATTTTGCCCAATGGTTATTTTCTTTTAGTTTGCAGAATTGTTTAATATGTTTGGAATTTTTAATTGTCAAATTTGATGACCTTTTCACTTACACTTCATTTATATTTGTAAAAATTACTGAACTTTCACATACACTTTATTTTAAGAGCTTTATGTTTTAAAGTATATGAAACGTTTGAGAGTGCCCACACAATACTTGTATAATGTTATTTCCTTGACAACAGCTGCTAAAATTTAATTATGTGTTGTAAAATTATGTACATTACCTATGTTTAGCTTGAAGATTTTGACTTTAGAACTCTATAGTAAAGTTCTTGTTTCTCTTTTTAGTGACAATTATGCTTTGTCTCAAGCACACTGCTAAACCACTGCTGACTTCAGATCCAGGAAGCTAAGGACATTAGGTATTACTAGTAAAGACAACAGAATTAATCAGATCCACTCCCTAAACTTTGTCATTATTCATAACTTTTTCACTTTAGATAGGTGCTGAGAACAATTATTTTTAATATACAATCTAACTTTTAATTATATATGTGTTTAAAGATATCAAAACAAAGAAAATAAAAATCACTACTACGATGTCTCTTACATGTGTAGATGTAATCATTATCATCTTTACTCTTTTAGGGAGTGTTTTTAACTTGTATTATATACTTTAGCATGTAATATAATATGTCAATATAAAGTATAATTTTACTATTTACGTATTATTGTAAATTTTTTTGCCGAAACACTTTATCCAGTAACTTTTTTTAGATATTTTTTATGTCTTAAATTATTCTCTGGGATAAAGATGTAAATTATTGTCCACATACTTAATTATTACCTTAAGAGTAATTCTTAGATCTGATTCCACAACCATTTTTGAGACTTTTGATATGCATTGTTAAATTTCTTCTACAAATAACTGTATTATAGTGGTAACCTGTGGTGGAAATAATTGCATGTTTTTGTCTACTTTATTTGGAACACCAGATTGGATATGTTAATAATAGCTTTTAAAAAGCACATGCTACTGAAAGATTTTGAATAGTAAATTCACACAAAATCAGAGTGACTTATAATCCTTTTTGTTTCTTACTCCGTACAAATATGAATTTTTTAATATTTTTTAATTTAACCATATTTGTATTGCTTGGCACAGAGTATATGTTCAATATATTTTGAATGAATGAATAGTTAACTTCCATGGTGCTAGATCTCAAAAATTTTGTCTAAAAAGTAGTGACACCTTCCTTTCAAAAGAGAAACTGTGTTTCCTATGTGAAAATTCAATCTTTTCATAAGTTTAAATAATATATTTGAAAGACCCTCAATTTTTACACAGTTTCACAGTTGTACATGGGAAATGTAAGATGAGATAGACGTTTTGTCATACAGAAATAGCTCCTGATAATCCTTTTGACCTACCTGATGCTTTCTCCTGCCTTCTGGATCAGCTCACTAAGTTTTTCAAGCCAGCAGCCTGGTGTATCTCTCTGATATGAGACGTTTTGAAGAAATGCCTCTATTAGCCACTGCAGGTGAAGCCTGCTCTCAGCTCTCATCGGTCTCTGACAGTGGGGCTCAAGATATAGTACAATACTCCACTCATTCATTCAAGCCACACTGGCTTACAAAACATACAGCAGGTCACTCTTTCCCAAGTCACACATGGTGAAAGTTGTCTTATATCAAAAACTGCTAGTCTTACTTTTCAGTACCTCCAGTTCACAGATGGGCACACACTTTGTAGAAAATCATTTTTTTTTCTTAATACGTAGCCATCAGTTCTGTGAGCTATACCTGGCCATTCTGTGACCAAATAATCACTCTTCAGTGTTTATCTAACTGTAGTAAGGTACTTAATGATTCAATCCTCGCTCACCTTTATGGCAAATTATTTCTTAGTCACTACATTGCCCCTTTGCTTTCATTCACCTTGATCACTGTGACCCAATTCATTCAAAGAATTTCTTGTTCAACAAAATTTAATTACAAAGAGATATAGCTGTGAAGCCCTTGCCATTCTAGGCAAATTTGGACTATTGCATTCCTGAAATAGCCAAGTTATATGGTGAGGAGTAACATGGAGGCATACATTTATGGATTTTTTTTTCTGTGTTATCAGCGTGGCCCGATATACATGCTCTTATTAAAATGAGTACATTCTTGTCTTGCAAAAGAGAATATTCACATGGCTATTTCCAGGCCAAAGGGAGACTTTCCCAAGATAAATTGATGCTGTCATTTATGGATAGAAAAGAAAAAAAAAATAATGACTTTTAAATGATAAAATGCAGTATTAAAGTTTCTTCTCAATAAGATATGTTTTTTCTTTTAAAAAATGAATTAATAAACAGAATTGTATTTTTCAAAAACAAAACAAAATGAAAAATAATAATAATAACAAAACTCGTATTGCTATTTGGCAAGGGAATTTGTGTGTTTATTTGGTTAGAAAAAAATTAATGATCTGAATGAGAGAAGTTCAGATAAACATAATAACTAGATTTTGAGACTATTTATTGCTATAGGTAACCAAGTACTTAGTAGAACCTTTTGTGGACCTGTGGCCATGTTTTCTTTATTCCTATTCTTTGCCCTTAATGGGGGATGAAAACATTTCATAGCCACCCTGCAAATAAGGAACTCATCTATTAATGTCAATGGAAAGTTTGTGTCTAGAAGTTATATAGCTTACATCGACACATATCATGGAACAAGGCACTATTTGTTATCGAACTTTCCATGCTGACAGAGTATACACATCAAAAACAAATTTTGTGAAAGGTCATTTTCTGAGAAAAGTAAAGTATTAAAATGCTTAAGTAAATAAAGTAGGCCTGTTTACAGATCTATTTGTATCTTACAGTGAACTTTGGGATAACACCTTGGTTATTGTAACACTTTTACACCCCATTACATGGAATATTTTTCTTGATTACATTGAAGTCCAAAAAATGGATGGATAAACTACATTTATAACTTCTGCAGCTGGATGACCTGGTAAACAAGACCAGAAATATAATATTCCTTATATTTCTGAAAAAAAAAAATTTGTTCTTTGGATACCACGTAAGGATGGTAAATTGAAACTAGTACACTGCTTAAATTTGAAGACGTATTCCTGGTATATTAAATTTTATTCAGATAGATATTGGAACTCAGTAAAGTACTCAATAAAAATCATGTTAATTTGGGATTTGAGGAGCAATACTTATTTTCTCCTTAGAAAATAACATTTTATTCACACCCTTCAAATATGCACACCTGTTTTTAATTGAATAAATCATTAAGAGAATAAATAAAATAAAATATATGTTGAGTTTTGTGTAATGGTGAAAATTTGTAAAATATTTAAATGGTATTTTTCATGGAAAAATTAAAAATTAATAATTTCAAATTAGCATGCGAATGCAACAAATGCTTTTAGGGCTTTATTAATTGGCTCCCTTCTTTTATTTGCTTGACCTATTATTACAATTTCCATAAAATGTATAAAGTATTTAACAGCAATTTGCTCTAGTGTAATTGACTAAATGTCATGAGTTAAACATGGGAAGCAAAAATCAAGTACTAAAAAAAGAAAAGAATTAACAAATACACTTTTCTGTGAAAATGTATAAGGTTTAATTATTCATTTTTGATGGATTGGCTACAATATATCTGTCATTTTTGAAGGCTAGAATACCAGTGATAATAAGATTCACATTTAAACATTTTTAGTTTTGGTTACAGTGGCAAGATGACCAACTACACACAGCCAGGATGAACATCAGCCACCAAGGGACCAGGACATTGGGATGACAGGCACACTTATACCAGATCTTCAGAGGGAAGGCATTCAGAACAGATGGAGAGAAGGCACAGATGCTGAACTGAAGGGGGAGACCCCCCATGACCACCAAGGACACTTGAATTTGAAAGGAATGATGCTTAAAGAACTGGTAAGGGCAGAATTCCAGCCAGTGCAGAGCCCAGAGGGTTTGATATGGGAGTGTTTGTAGTGGAACACAGCCAGGGACTCCCATCACCATAGGCACAACTTGCTCCCATAGGAAACTAGCGGAAACTGTTGGACCTGAACTCTTCAGAGTGGGCTTGCCCATGAGACGAGGCCAGTCCAAACTGAGCACTTCTCAGTCTGCTCTATCCACAAGGTCATCAAAAGGATAAAAGAGAATTTTTAAAAACCCATCCAAAGGACAGCAACTTCAAAGATTGAAGAAACATCAGCCCACAAAGATAAGAAAGAACCAGTGCAAAAACTCTGACAACTCAAAAAGTGAGAGTGCCTTATTTCTTTCATAAATCCATACTAGCTGTCCATCAAGGGTTCTTAACAAGATGGCTGAATAGACAGGAATAGAATATAGAATATAGATATAAGCAAAGAGAATTGAGATTCAGGAGAACATTGAAACCCAATCCAAGGAAGGTATGAATCACAATAAAATGAGGAGCCTTCCAAGAGCTCCTGAAAGAAACACTAACTGTGGAAAGGAAAGCCCATTACCAGCCACTACGAAATCACACTTAAGTCCAAAGATCAGTGACACTATAAAGCAACCACACAAAAGTCTGCATAATAACCAGCTAACAACGAAATAATGGAATAAAATCCAAACATATTAATACTAACCTTGAATGTAAATGGTCTAAATGCCCCACTTGAAAGGCACAGAGTGGCAACCTGGACAAAAAGCAAGGGCCAACGGTATGTTGTTTTCAAGAGACCCATCTCACAGGCAATAACACTCATTGGCTCAAAATAAAGGGATGGAGGAAAATCTGCCAAACAAATGGAAAACAGAAAAAAAGCAGGGGTCGGAATCTTAATTTTGGACAAAAGGGACTTTAACAAAGATCAAAAAAGACAAAGAATGACATTAGATAACGGTATAAGGTTAAATTCAACAAGAAGACCTAACTACATATATATGTATCCAACACAGGAACACTAGACTCATAACGCAAGTTCTTAGACACTTTCAGGGAGACTTAGACTCCCACACAATAATAGTGGGAGACTTCGACACCCCACTTGACGATATTAAGGATCTGAACTCAACACTGTTCCAAAGGGACTTGATAGCCATCCACAGAGCTCTTCAACCAAAGCAACAGAATATGCATTCTTCTTATCACCACATAGCAGATACCCTAAAGTTGTCCACACAATGGGACATAAAACAATCCTCAGCAAATGCAAAAGAACCAAAAATATAACAAACACTCTTTTGGACCACAGCACAATAAAAATAGAAAACAAGATCAAGAAAAGTACTCAAAACTATAGAATTACATGAAAATCAACCAACCAGCTTTTTAATGACTTTTGGACAATGAAAATAAGGCAGAAGCCAAGAAGTTCTTTGAAACTAATCTGAACACAGATGCAACATGCCAGAATTTCTGGGACACAACTAAGGCAGTATTAAGAAAGAAATTTATACCACTAACTACCCACAACAAAAAGTTAGAAAGAATTCAAATTGACAACATAACATCACAAGTAAAACAATGCGAGAAGCAAGAGCAAACTAACTCCAAACCTAGCAGAAGGCAAGAAATAACAAAAATCAAAGCTAAGCTGAAGGAGATTGAGGTAAGGAAAACATTTAAAAGATCAGCAAATCTAGGAGTTGTTTTTTTGAAAAAAATTTAGTAAGACAAACTACTAGCTAGACTAATACAGAAGAAAAAAGATCCAAATAAACACAAATAGAAATGACAAAGGGAATGTTGCCATAGTCCCTACAGAAATACAAAAGAAATCAGAGACTGTCTACTAAGAACATGTCTATGAACAGAAACTAGAAAATATAGAATAAAGGATAAGTTCCTAGACACATACACCCTCCCAAGACTAAACCAGGAAGAATTTGAATCCCTGAAAAGACCAATAATAAGCTCTGAAATAGAATCAGTAATAAATAGCCTACCAACAACAACAGCAACAACAAAGCCCTGGACCAGATGGACTCACAGCTGAATTCTACCAGATGTCCAAAGAAGAGCTGGTACCATTCCTACTGAAACTACTCCAAATAATGTAGGAGGAGGGACTCCTCCACAACTCATTCAATTAGTCCAGATTCATCCTGATATCAAAAGCTTGCAGATACACACACACACACACACACACACACACCTCCACACACTTCAGACCAATATTCTTGATGTACATTGATGCAAAAATCCTCAACAAAATACTAGCTAACTGAATTTAGCAGCAAATCAAAAACTAATCCACCATGATCAAGTAGGCTTTATCCTGGATACAAGGTTGGTTCAACATATGCAAATCAATAAATATGATTAGTCAAATAAACATAACTAAATTAAAAAAACCCATATGATTATCTCAATTGATGCATAAAAGGCTTATGATAAAATTTGATATCCCTTCATATTAAAAACTCTCAATAAACTATGTATTGAAGGAACATACCTCAAAATAATAAGCACCAACTATGGCAAACCCAAAGCCAGCATCTAACTAAATTGCCAAAAGCTGGAAACATTCCCATTGAAAACTGGCACAAGATAAAGATACCCTTTCTCACCCCTCCTATTCAACATAGTATTGAAAGTTCTGGCCAGAGCAATCAGGCCAGGAAAAGAAATAAAGGGCATGCCAACAGGAAGAAAGGAAGCCAAAATATTTATATTTGTAGACAATATGATTCTATATCTAGAAAACCTCATATTCTCAGCTTAAAATGCCTTAAACTGATACACAACTTCAGGAAAGTGTCAGGATACAAAATCATTGTACAAGAATCACAAGCATTTCTATACACCAACAACAATGAAGCCAAGAACCAAGCAGGAATGCAATCCCATTCAGATCTGCCACACACAAGAAATAAAATACCTAGGAATAGAGCTACCAGGGAGGTAAAAAATCTCTAGAAAGAGAATTACAAAACACTGTTCAAAAGAATCAGAGTTGACATAAACAAATGGAAAAACGTATTATTTTCATCAATAGGAAGAATCAATATCATTAAAATTGCCATACTCCCCAAAGTAATATATAGATTCAATGTTATGCCTATCAAATTACTAATGATATTCTTCAGAGAACCAGAAAAAAAAATTTTGAAATTTATATGGAAGAAAAAAGTAGCCTGCATAGCCAAGGCAGTTCTAAGGAAAAGAACAAAGCTGGAAGCAGCACTTTACACAACTTCAAATTATACTATGGGGCTACAGTAACCAAAATAGCATGGTATTGGTACAAAAATAGACACATAGGCCAATGGAACAGATTAGAGAGCCCAGAAACAAGGCATCACAGCTACAATCATCTGATCTTCTACAAAGCTGACAAAAACAAGCAATGGGGAAAGGACTCCTTATTCAATAAATGGTGCTGAGATAACTGGCTAACGATATGCACAAGATTTAAACTGAACCCCTTTCTTACACCATATGCGAAAATCAACATAGGATGGATTAAAGACTTAAATATAGGCCAGGCATGGTGGCTCATGCCTGTAATCCCAGCACTTTTGGAGGCCGAGGAGGGTGGATCACAAGGTCCGGAGATCAAGACCATCCTGGCTAACATGGGGAAACCCCATCTCTACTAAAAATACAAAAAATTAGCTGGGCATGGTGATGGGCGCCTGTAGTCCCAGCTACTTGGGAGGTTGAGGCAGGAGAATGGTGTAAACCCATGAGGCGGAGCTTGCAGTGAGCTGAGATCATGCCACTGCACTCCAGCCTGGCCACAGAGTGAGACTCCGTCTCAAACAAAACAAAACAAAACAGACTTAAATATAAAACTCAGAGCTATAAAAACCATGGAAAATGACCTGGGCAATACCATCAGGACATAGGCACAGGCAAGATTTCATGATGAAGATGCCAATAACAATTGCAACAAAAGCAAAAATTGACCTATGGGTTCAAATTAAACTAAAGAGCTTCTACACAGTAAAAGAAACTATCATCAGAGAGAACAGGCAAGCTACAAAATTGGAGAAAATATTTGCAAATTATGTATCTGGCAAAAGTATAATATCCAACACCTATAAGGAACTTGAATTTACAAGAAAAAAAGATCCTATTAAATAAGCAAAGAACGTGAACAGACACTTTTTGAAAGAAGCATACATGTGGCCAACAAGCATATAAAAAAAAGCTTGGCTGAGTGCAGTGGCTCATGCCTGTAATCCCAGCACTTTGGAAGGTGGGTGGATCATCTGATATCAAGAATTCGAGACCAGCCTGGGCAACATGGTGAAACCCCATCTCTAATAATTTTTTTTTAATGAGCTGTGTTTGATGGTGCAAACCTGTAATCTCAGCTACTCAGGAGGCTGAGGCAGGAGAATGACTTGAACCTGTGAGCGGGTGGTTGCAGTGAGCCAAGATCTCACCATTGCACTCCACCCTGGGCAACAAGAGGCGAAACTCCCTCTAAAAAAAACAGATTCTGGCAACATTGTGGAGGGAAGAGAATGCTTACACATTGTTTGTGGGAGTGAAATTAGTTCAGCCATTGTGAAAATTAATGTAGTTATTCCTCAAAGAGCTCAAAGCAGAACTACTATTAAACTCAGAAATCCCATGACTGGGTAAATACCCAGAGGAATAGAAATTGTTCTGTCATAAAGACACATGCATTCCTATGTTCACTGTAGCACTATTCATAATAGCAAAAACATGGAATCAACCTAAATGTCCATTAATGGTAGACTATATAAAGAATATGTGGTATATATACACCATGGGATACTATGCAGCCATAAAAAAATGAGATCATGACTTTTGCAGAAACATGAATGGAGCTGGAGGCCATTATCCTCAGCAAACTAATGCAGAAATAGAAAACCAAATACCACGTGTTCTTACTCATAAGTGGGAGCTAAATCATGAGAACATATATTAGTCTATTTTCATACTACTGATAAAGACAGACCTGAGACTGGGCAATTTAGAAAAGAAAGAGGTTTAATGGAGTTACAGTTTCACATGGAGGCCTTGCAATCATGGTGGAAGGCAAGGAGGAGCAAGTCATGTATTACATGGAGGGCAGTAGGCAAAAAGAGAGCTTGTGTGGGGAAACTCTCATTTTTAAAACTGTCAGATCTTGTGAGACTCATTCACCATCACGAGAATAGCACAGAAAAGACCCACCTCCATAATTCAATCACCTTCCACCGGGTTCCTCCCACAACACATGGGAATTGTGGGAGGTACAATTCAAGAGAAGATTTGCATGGGTCCACAGCCAAACCATATAATTTCAGTCCTGGCCGTTCCAAAATCTCATGTCCTCACATTTCAAAACTAATCATGCTTTCCCAACAGTTCCTCAAAATTTTAACTAATTTTAGCATTAACTCAAAAGTCCATAGTCCAACGTCTCATCTGAGACAAGGCAAGTCTCTTCCACCTATGAGCCTGTAAAATCAAAAGCAGGTTAGTTACTTCCTAGACACAATGTGGGTGCAGGCATTGGGTAAATACAGTCATTCCAAATGGGAGAAATTGGCCAAAGCAAAGGGGCTACAGGCCCCATTCAAGTCCAAAATCCAGCAGAGCAGTCAAATCTTAAAGCTGCAAAATGATCTCCTTTGACTCCATTTCTCACATCCAAGTCATGCTGATGCAAGAGGTGGGTTCCCATGGTCTTGGGTAGTTCCAGCCCTGTGGCTCTTCAGGGTACAGCCTCTCTCCCAGCTGCTTTCATGGGCTGGCTTTGAGTGTCTGTGGCTTTTCCAGGTGAATGGTGCAAGCTGTCAGTGCATCTACCAGTCTGGTCTGGAGGATGGTTGCCCTCTTCTCACAGCTCCACTAGGCAGTGCCCCAGTAGGGACTCTGTGTGGGGGCTTTGACCCCACATTTCTCTTCTGCACTGCCCTAGCAGACGTTCTCCATTAGGGCCCTGCCCCTGTAGCAAACTTCTGCCTGGGCATCCAGGCATTTCTATAAATCTGAAACCTAAGTGGAGGTTCCCAAACCCTGATTCCTGGCTTCTGTGCACTCACAGGCTCAATACCACACGGAAGCTGCCAAGGCTTTGAGTTTGCACCCTCTGAAGCCATGGCCTGAACTCTACATTGGCCACTTTCAGCCACAGCAGGAGTGGCTGGAACTCAGGGCACCAAGTCTCTAGGCTGCACACAGCACAGGGACCCTTGGCCCAGGCAACAAAACCATTTTTTTTTCCTCCTAGGCCTCTGGGCCTGTGATGAGAGGGGCTGCTGTGAAAACCTCTGACGTGCCCTGGAGACATTTTCCGCATTGTCTTAGGAATTAACATTTGACTTCTCATTATTTATGCACATTTCTGCAGCTGGCTTGAATTTCTCCTCAGAAAATGGAATATTATTTTCTATAAAATTGGCAGGCTGCAAATTTTCCAAACTTTTGTGCTCTGCTTCTCTTATGAGACTGAATGCCTTTAACAGCAGCCAAGTCACCTCTTGATGAAATAATCTGTACAGCAGACCCCCATGACAGAGCTTACCTATATAACAAAACTGCACATGTAGTCCCAAACCTAAAATAAAAGTTTAAATAAAAAATAAATAAAAATAAAAATTTTAGTTTTAATGCAATTTCTGCCTATGAGTAACACTCTTGTTATATGTGTTTTTTCAACCATGGGATATTACTAAAGATATAATTTTGATTTTTCATATTTCTTTGGGAAACAGGATTTCAGATAATAAATGTTGATTGTTTTCTTATAGGTAAACATATACATATTCACTAAAGGGTCATAAATGAAATGAATTAAATACATACTTCCAAATAAGGAGAATAAACAAGTTTGATTCAATTATTTATAGTAACATAGAAAACAGAAAAGAGGCTCTCATTGGATAAAGGCTCGTACTAATATTTGAATAAAAGTACTTTATTTAATATTTTAATGAATCAATAAATTTTATTTATTTTTTACCATTTTTAAAAAGTTTCCATTTGGGCATTTTTTTCTTTCATTTTCAATTATATAAATCAAAAATTTTCTAAAAGAAACAAAGGTATTAAGCATTATTTTTAGATATTCCCTAGTTAGTATATATTTAATTACTCATAAAAGCCATTTTACACCTCACTATATATTGCCTGCATGTTCTTATATGTGAATATCATCACTTTCCCTCTATTCTTACTTATAAATTCACCTTTCTTAAGTCACAGAGAGAAGACCCTGTTGCTTACTTTCATGGTAAGCCTCATCAAAGGTAATCATGATTCTTATCATTTTCTATCACTTTTACACTCAAGTTCATTAGTTACTACATATATGCATTAATTGCTACAAGATGAATCTAGACATATTTATGAACCGACAGTGTGTGTTTTACACGTGTCAACTTTTCTATAAATATATATATAGCCAAAATCTCCATTAAATATATTTAGCTGAAAGGCAAGTTGGTAAGATTTACTCTGAATTAAAATGTTCTAGCTGGCATTTATTTAAAAAGAAGTGTGATCATCTTGGTTTATGTTATGTCTATCCCTCACAGCCAGATCTCCAGTATTTAGAAGTAGTAAAGTATAAGGCATCTACTTCTCAGCATGCATTGCTACTAAAGATTTTCTTTTTCTGTCAACAAATCTTGCTATAGATACGACTTCTACTACATTATATTATTTTCAGTACCTCCCACTCCACTGCCAATCCCTTAATTTCCTCATTATCCAATTAATGTAACCAGCACTCTTTAGAGAGGAGTAGAAAGTGGTCTTGATATAGAGAAAGCCAGTAAGTGTGTAACATTTAATTGATTTTTGGAAAGAAATATTAGTTTTTAAATGCTTGAACTAATGTAAAAGTATGCAAAGAGAACAACCTAAGGAGGACTCTCATGTATAATATTTTTCAAGTTGTGATAATATAAACTTATAAACACACACAGGTACATAACAATATGCAGTTGATTAAATGAATTAGTATGTAGTTCATGAAAATAGAAATAAAAATATAATATAAAGTGTTTTAAAATTTTTGTGATGCATACTACTTTAGCATCCAAATTCTTTACTATAAATATTGCATATGAATCAGTTTAAATTGTGTATCTCCTATGTTCAAGATTTGATTGACTGCTAGTTTACTAGTCCTCTGTTGTAAATTTTAAATGGCAAAGGAAAATATTTAAATCGGAGTAGTAATTATATTTGGGAATATTGTTTTGCATAAGATAATGTAAACACATGAAATGACAAAACAGCTTAGTAAGACAGTATAAAATGTTGCAAAAACAATTTGTAATGTTAATTTTTTAATTATTTTTTAAAGTGATCTGGAATCATGAACCTATATGCATTTAATTTGATAATATGTAGAGATAGATACCTCTCTATTTGTGTTAGTAGAAACAGATGGATAGAGAGTAAATTGTGTAGAGTCCAGATAGTTCTAGAAACAGCAGGATCTGTACTAAAATAGGAATTCATACCAGTAAGTCACACTCCAAATACAGACTAAAAGGAAAGTTCAACATTGTTGCATGGTGAACACTCTTAGGAAAATTTTATTTGGATTGCATTTCTCATTTTTTTTTGGAGGTAATGCATGTAGGGTACAAGCAGAAGGGCAGAGTAGGAGAGAGGAGATACCTAAACTTGTATCTCTATGTCCAAGAATGGATTTCCTGGATGCTTTTGAATCTTGCCAGGCTTGGGCTCTCAAATAACAATCAAGTGAAAGTAATTGCCCTTGGGCCTTTTCAAACAGGGAACAAAAATATCTGAGATAACTGAAAAACAATACTGCTGATAGAATTTGATATTTTGCTATAAATTTGAAGCTGCCTAAAGTCATAAAACTAGGTTTCCAACTAACACCAAATAGTGATTTGGAGAATAATTGTATTTTCTTTGCTATCATTTTCTTCCTAATATACTTTGGTCAAGATTTCATCTTACACTTCCAGTAATTGTTTCTTGGAAGAACTCCTCAAATATTTCCTAATTATAGAAACATTGTGCTAATTTCATTTCCCAACTAATATTTCCATTATGAACTTCCTCTTATTATTGCCTCTGTCTTGGCTTTTGATCATTCTCAGCAGGTCCCCATCTGCCCTCCCTTAAATATTGATGCTTCTGTTGTCTCATGTTACATATCCACGTAGAGCTTCATCACAATATCTGCATCCTTATATTTCTTGAACCCCACTAAAATGGATCCAACATAAATGACTCCTGGATATCAGCAAGTCATTATATTACGCACTCTACTCACTAGCAGTAACACAGAGCACCTTTCACTTCTATTTCATCTGGAAGTCTGGCATTTTCACATCATCAGTCAAAGAAGGTAAAATCCAGGAGTTGTCTTAGACATGCCTCATTCTCATTCCACCTACATCAACTTTGCCACCTATTTCTGCACATGTATTTTGTGACATTTTCAACACTCATTTCTGACTTTTATCCTCTCACATGAATTATTATAATAGATTCCTAAATTTCCCCTTGCCTAAAATTCTATATCCAAACAAACCAATTCTCAGCACTTTAGTTATACATAGTTTCTAAATTTTCTACCCATCTACCAGCATTTGACATATACACTCTGCCTTTTTGCCTTTTGCTCTAGATAAGAACAGCCTTCCAATTTCGTGTGAGATATCATTCACTCTTGCCTATTCCAGAATGTAATTTGGAGTATTCTCTCTGCAGTCTTATAGGTTTTACTCTCTACTACATTAATTTTATCTGCTTGACAACATACTGTTACCTTTATCTTATCCTAAAAACCCTCCCTTGACTTGACCTTTCTCTAAAACTTTGTGCTCTGTTATATCCCTCTGATCCTCTTTACAGAAAATTTCCTTGGTATCACCTATACTCTGTGACTTCTATTCCTCCTTCCTTAATCTCTCTTGAACCTCTGGAATAAGTAGACTTATGCTCCATAGAAGAACACTTTCATTCCCTCACTCCCAATCCCCTTTTCCAACTTTACTCTTTCCCACATACCATGTTCCACTTAATAGCATAGAAATATATTATTGATAATTTTTAGTTTTTATTTCTCTATCTTCAGGACATAAGCTCTATTTGCCCAGGTTTAGTCTATAGTATTTACTGACTTTTCTAATTTCCTGTGACAAATTCTGGAACACAGAATAGGCTCAGTAAATATTTACAAAATGAATTTATATATATATATTTCTGATCATAAAACTGCCATATTTGAAATTCACCTATGGATCTCCTTATGTACACAGAAGTGCCTACTTCTTTCTATGGCCACAAGTTTTTTTTACATGGCATCCTAGAACTTTTCTCTCAGCCTATTTGTCTTCACTTGTTTTCAAATTCCTCTGATTCATTCTTTACACTGATGTCTTGTCAAAACACTAATAATTTCCTTACTGTGTCATATTTTTTTTCATTCACCAATGACCTTTTTCAGAAAAATCCTTATGCTTGTAGTTTTTCTTCCATAGCTAGCCCTTACTCTTATTAGTCTTGGCGTACATATTTATCTTACATGCTTCATCTCTGAATACTTGCATGGCCTACCAAATACATCTGATTTTTGTCCTCCATTGGATACTCATTATGTTCCATTCAGTTATCTAATGCATTATTACTGTACCTAAATAAGTACACTTGGTCATCAGAAATAAACATTGTATATCTCTGTGTCCAATATAAGACACAGTATATTAAATTTACTCAATTCCTGACAATTAAATTTTTAAATATACTGAATATGTTAAAGCTACATCTATATGTCTACACTTAGATTTGCATAACTATTTATACATGCGTCAGCCACGAATATGTGCCTGTAAGTTCTCTGACTATGGAGAGTACAGTCAGTTGACTGATGGCTCTAGCTGCTATACTCTGTAATTTATCACTGTGTTCCCACTAATGCCCCACTTCACAGAAGACTTCATCCAAAAACTGAGCGTGGCAGAGATATTAAGTTCATTTTGTTCCTGGGAGACATGAGACTAAACTGAGAAGTGACTTTCGATTTAAAACGGCCTTCCTGGACTCTTAGACCTTCTTTGCACTGTACGATACTCACTCAATCTTCCTTTTTTATCACTCTCCTTCATCTGAGATCTGATCTGTATCATAGTCTGGTAGTTCTCCCAGTCTTTCTTGGCCCTTTCCCCATTTTCCTCTCTTAATCAATCACATGGACAAATAATTCAGTCTAGGAATCTACCTCTTAGAGGATTGAGACTAACACAAGTGATATCTGAAATGTTTCAAGAATACAAGTGATAAGATGTGGAATTAGGGACTGGCTCAGGCATCATGCATTACAGGTAGGATAAAGTTGCTAGGTTAGGTGCAGATTACTCTGGCATAAGATAGTGTCTCAACTGCTAAATATTCCACAGGCAATTACTTTGGTAAAGTTCCAGTGGAGGGGACTGCTGTAGCATATGTGACATCCAAAAAATACGGGTGGCAGAAGGAGCAGTGCCTATAAAGACCGCAGAACTGGCCGCTTACTGCTAAGTTACATTGATGTTATCAGAAGGATATTAGGACTCTGTGGACCATATACCAAGAATTATAACAAATAGCCAGCATCTATGGACTGGAGTCAGGAGAACATTCTTAGGATTGGATCTTGAGCCTTTTTTTATCAAGGGGACAAAAATATAAGAGTAAGTAAGGAAATATTGATTGAATTGGGGATCCTTTTTCAGGGCATAGGACTTAATACACCAGGAGAAAATTCAAGCAATAGAAAAAAATTGCTACTGCCTTGGAAGCCTGGGAAAAACAATGGCTAGCAATAAGTGAGGAGAAATTGTCTGAGCTGCCCTAGGAGATGGCAGAAGAAGGAAGAACGAGGTTAAAGGAAGTAGGCATTCTGGTTTGGATGTATTATATAAGGTCAGAAAACCCATCAGAGATTTATGTACCATGGGAAAGACCAGAAGGCTCATCATTCACCAAGACCATGAGGCGAGGGGACACTGACATCAAGAAGAAGTTTTTCTCTGCAGACCAGGGCTGACATAGGAGGGGCAGCCACAAAGCTGGATGATGGGACGGACCCCAACGTGATAGAGGTCAGGAGTCAGCACTTAACTGCCAGGAGGCTGCAACTACTGTTAAGACTGGCAAGGTCAAAGGGCAAGACAACGGGCCTAACTGACAAAGATTTGTGAAGACGGTTAATAGTGTACGGCCTTGCTAGGGGCAAAGTAGAAGAGCAGCCCACACACATGCTGCTTAATTTGTCACCAAGTGACTTGTTGGTCTCTGTAAGCAATAGCGCATACCTTACCCAGAGCTCAACATCAATCTGTCATGACAGGTTGAATTCTCACAGGCACAGTAGCTAGGCCAGCGTTGATACATGGGACTTGTCATGGGACGACATTAAGCTTGGTCATCTTGGCTGCTTAGTTCATATGTTCATACTTCCATTTCACTGACAGAAATAAGGTGGATTTAAAATTCATAAACTTACATTGATATTTAAAATTCATGTTTATTATTTTAAATGGTTATAAAATTTTTTTGATTTTGAATTTGCATTTCCTTATTCTTTTATACTGAAAAATCTAACTTTAGCGTAATTACCTATTTGTTACATCAACATCTATCTATATTCAACATACATGTCTAATTTCAAAGTAATAATAACAGTGTTACTTTCAAAAATATGATGGCAGAATAAATTCTGAGATGTATTTGCATTTTGTTTCACTATAAAATGTATTCAGCTAAGAATAAACTATAAGAATACAGTGTTCTAAAAACATTTGAAATAATTTTTATCCAGTGTGGTTATATAAACAACTTGATATATAGTTAGTTTCATTTGTTTTGATAGCCTTTCAATTTTTAAGAACTGTCTTTTTTCCTTGTTGCTTTAATCCTCAATAGTTTCATATGCTATATTGTCACTATGATTTTTAGCTGAAATTTCTTAACATCTATTGACTGCTAATGAACTGTTTTCTAGAATTATTTACATATAATTTAAAAACATACATTGGTCATATGTGTTTCTGTATATTTTTCATAGGTTCATATGTAGATAACTTTAAAATTTATTAAAAACTTTCGGAGTACATAACTAGGTAACAACCATGCAGGCTAAGAAATATTAGAACTGTCCCTTCCTGCTCCTCCCAAACACTTGTCCTTCCTTCCCAAAGTGATCACTAATTTTACTACTTCTAATACCTTAAATCCATAATCATTTTTGATTATTTTTGACTTTATAAAATAAGATTTTTGAACACCTAGTAGTACCCATTATACTGGTATAAGCAGATATTTATTTTTTAATTTAATTTTCTGTGTAGTAATGTATTTTATAAACATAAAATTATTCTTCCATTCATTCTGTTGTTGAAGGGTTGCATTCAGTGTTTCAATATGAATGTGTTTCAGATGTCTTTTGCTATAAATATGCATGCATATCTTGGAATTTGGCAGATACCTCCTAATGTATTTTCCAATAATCTGTACTAACTTACGTTATTCCAGAAAAAGAAATGACAATTATCTTTTCTTTCCTTTCTTGCAAACCCTTGGTATTGTGAGTCTTCTTTCATTTTTAATCTTTCTTTTTGATTTATAGTGTTATGTCATTCAGGTTTTAATGGAAATTTCCCTGGTGATTAACATAATGGAGAAAGTTTTCATAGGTTTACTAGCAACTTGTTTATCTTCTCTTTTGAGGTAACTCTTTAAGTCTTTTCTCTTTTTTTTTTAAATTTATTATTATTATACTTTGAGTTTTAGGGTACATGTGCACAATGTGCAGGTTAGTTACATATGTATACATGTGCCATGCTGGTGCGCTGCACCCACTAACTCGTCATCTAGCATTAGGTATATCTCCCAGTGCTATCCCTCCCCCCTCCCCCCACCCCACAACAGTCCCTAGAGTGTGATGTTCCCCTTCCTGTGTCCATGTGTTCTCATTGTTCAATTCCCACCTATGAGCAAGAATATGTGGTGTTTGGTTTTTTGTTCTTGCGATAGTTTACTGAGAATGATGATTTCCAATTTCATCCATGTCCCTACAAAGGACGTGAACTCATCATTTTTTATGGCTGCATAGTATTCCATGGTGTATATGTGCCACATTTTCTTAATCCAGTCTATCATTGTTGGACGTTTGGGTTGCTTCCAAGTCTTTGCTATTGTGAATAATGCCGCAATAAACATACGTGTGCATGTGTCTTTATAGCAGCATGATTTATAGTCCTTTGGGTATATACCCAGTAATGGGATGGCTGGGTCAAATGGTATTTCTAGTTCTGGATCCCTGAGGAATGGCCACGCTGACCTCCACAATGGTTGAACTAGTTTACAGTCCCACCAACAGTGTAAAAGTGTTCCTATTTCTCCACATCCTCTCCAGCACCTGTTGTTTCCTGACTTTTTAATGATTGCCATTCTAACTGGTGTGAGATGGTATTTCATTGTGGTTTTGATTTGCATTTCTCTGATGGCCAGTGATGGTGAGCATTTTTTCATGTGTTTTTTGGCTGCATAAATGTCTTCTTTTGAGAAGTGTCTGTTCATGTCCTTCGCCCACTTTTTGATGGGGCTGTTTGTTTTTTTCTTGTAAATTTGTTTGAGTTCATTGTAGATTCTGGATATTAGCCCTTTGTCAGATGAGTAGGTTGCGAAAATTTTCTCCCATTTTGTACTTTGCCTGTTCACTCTGATGGTAGTTTCTTTTGCTGTGCAGAAGCTCTTTAGTTTAATTAGATCCCATTTGTCAATTTTGGCTTTTGTTGCCATTGCTTTTGGTGTTTTCGACATGAAGTCCTTGCCCATGCCTATGTCCTGAATGGTAATGCCTAGGTTTTCTTCTAGGGTTTTTATGGTTTTAGGTCTAACGTTTAAGTCTTTAATCCATCTTGAATTGATTTTTGTATAAGGTATAAGGAAGGGATCCAGTTTCAGCTTTCTACATATGGCTAGCCAGTTTTCCCAGCACCATTTATTAAACAGGGAATCCTTTCCCCATTGCTTGTTTTTCTCAGGTTTGTCAAAGATCAGATAGTTGTAGATATGCAGCATTATTTCTGAGGGCTCTGTTCTGTTCCATTGATCTATATCTCTGTTATGGTACTGGTACCAAAACAGCTGTTTTGGTTACTGTAGCCTTGTAGTATGGTTTGAAGTCAGGTAGTGTGATGCCTCCAGCTTTGTTCTTTTGGCTTAGGATTGACTTGGCGATGTGGGCTCTTTTTTGGTTCCATATGAACTTTAAAGTAGTTTAAGCCGTTTCTGTATTGAGTTTTCTCTATTGAGAAAACTCAGTAGAGAATACCTAATTAATTTATAGGTATTCTCTGCATCTTCTCGATATGAGACATTTATTGCCTATATATGCTACAAATAGCTTCTGTTACATGTTACTGGCAGAACACAACAAGATAGAAATCCAGAAACAGATTTCCACAGAGCTGGTCATTGGATTTATGACAAAGAACAGTGGAAAAGCTTTGACTTTTCAATAATGGTGCTGAGTCTTTTGGATTCTATAAGAAAAAGAAAAACAAAAAGAAACTTGACTCTTATATACACCAAAAATAAAAATCAATCTAGGTAAAATGGTAAAATAATAACACTTCTGAAAGATAACATTGGGGAATATCTGCTGACTTGGACTAAGGATCGGTTACTTAAACAATATTATAAAGTAGAAAATTGATATGCATGGCTACATTACAATCAAGAATGCTTCTCACATCTAAATGCAAATGGAAAACCACAACAGAGCAAGAGTAGCAATACTTATATCAGATAATAGAATACAAATCAAGGACTGTATAAAGAAATAAAGAAGGTCACTATATAATGATAAATGGATCAATTTAGTAAAGAGATATTACAATTTTAAAAACCTATGCACTTAACATCAGAGCTCCTAAGTATATAAAGCAAATATTAACAGCTCTGAAGGGAGAGATATACTGTAATACAATAATAGTAGAGAACTTTAACACCCCACTCTTGGTGATGACAGATCATAGAGATAGAAAATCTATAAGGAAACCTCAGAGTTAAACTACACATTAGACCAAAGAGACCTAACTGAGAGTTACAGAACATTTCACCCAACTGCTGCAGAATACATATTTCTTTCATCTTCATATAAAACATTCTCCAAAATGGACCATATCTTAGGCTACAAAACAAATCTGAAAAAATTCAAAAACAGTAGAAATTATATCAAGTATTTTTTTCTCATCACAATGGAATAAAATTAGAAATCAATAAAAAGAGTAACCTCAGAAACTTCACAAACACTTGGAAATTAAACAGCATGTTTCTAAATGACCAATAGGTCAATGAAGAAACTAAGAAGAATATTTAAAGAATTTCTTAAAGCAGATGATAATTAAAATACCATATGCCAAAATCTATGGGCTACAGCAAAAAAACAGTACTTAAAACAAAGTTTGTATCAACAAATTCTTATGTTTAAAAAGTAGTACTTCAAAAAACCTCAAGGAACTAAAAAGCAAGAACAAACCAATCCTTAAATTAGTAAAATAAAAGAAAAAGATCAGAGCATAAATAAATACAATTGAGACAATAAAAAATAATATAGAAGATCAACAAGTTAAAAATTAGTTTTTGAAAAGATAAATAAAATTAACAAACCTTTGGCTAGATGAAGAAATAGAAGCCCAAATAAATAATATCAGAAACAAAAAAGGAGACAAAACAAATGAAAATAAAAAATATAAAGAATCATTAGATTCTCATATGAACAACTTACGCCAACAAATTGAAAAACCTGGAAAAAATTAATAAATTCCTGAACACATGCAACCTACAAATATTGAACCTTGAAGAAATAGAAAACTTCAATATACCAATAACTTGTAATGAGATTGAAGCCATTAAAAAAGGTCACAACATGATGTCTTTACTGCTGAATTCTACTAAACATTCAAAGGAGAACTAATACCAATTCTACTAAAACTGTTCAAAAAAATTTAAGAGAAGAAAATATTTCCAAATTCATTCTATGAGGCCAGCATTATCCTGATACAAAAATCATGTCTTTTGCACAGACATGGGCGGAACTAGAGACCATTATCTTAAGTGAAATAACCCAGAAACAGAAACTCAAATGCTTTCACATATAAATGGGAGATAAATAATGTGTTCCCATAGACATAGAATGTGGAATAGTAGACATTGGAAACAGAAGGGCAAGAAGTTGTAAGGGGGATGAGAAATGAAATATTACCTAATGGATACAATGTACATTATTTAGGTGATCCTGACACTAAAAGCCCAGATTTCAATCATTATGCATTATATTCACATAACAAAACTGCACTTGCATCCTTTAAATTTATACAAGTAATAACTTTTAATAAAACAGGAAAAAAATGCTGGGTGCAGTGGTTCATACTTGTAATCCCAGCACTTTGGGATGCCAAAGCGGGCAGATCACCTGAGGTCAGGAGTTCGAGACCAGCCTGGCCAACATGATGAAACCTCATCTCTATTAAAAATACAAAAATCAGCTGGGCATGGTGGTGTGTGCCTGTAATCCCAGCTACTAGGGAGGCTGAGGCAGGAGAATATGAACCTAGGAGATGGAGGTTGCAGTGAGCCAAGATCGCATCATTGCACTCCAGCCTGGGCAACAGAGCAAGACTCCATCTCAAAAAACAAACAAACAAACAAACAAAAACAGAAAAAAATAAATAAAACTAATATCTATGATGAGCACAGATATAAATAGTCTTAACAAAATAGTAGTAAAAGAAATTCAATAACACATTAAAAAGACCATTCACCATGTTCAAGTGGGATTCATTCAGGAATGTAAGAATGGTTCAATATATGAAAATTAATGTACATAATACATCACATTAGCAGAACCAAGAACAAAAACATGAATTTTTAAATATATGTTTAAAAGTTATTCAGTAAAATTCAATATTCTGTTATGATAATATCCCTCATCAAACTAGGTATAAAAGGAACATACCTCAAAATAATAAAAGCCATACATGAAATGCCCACACTAATATAATAATGAATGGTGAAAAATTAAAGGTCATTTTTTTAAGGACTGGATGCTCACTTTCACCTCTTTTATTATTAGGTCGATGCAAAACTAATTGCGGTTTTTGCCATTACGTTTAAATGTTGTAGTGGAAGTCCTGACCAGAGTAATTAGACAAGATAGAGAAATAAAGGGCATTCAAAGAGGAAAGAAAGAAGTCCATTTCCCCTTGTTTGCAGGTAGCATAATCTTATACTTAGAAAAATCTAAAAACTCCATCAAGAAACTGTTAGAATTGATGAATGAATTCAATAAAGTGTTAGGATACAAAAATCAACAAGGAAAAATCAGTAGCATTTATATACAACAACAGCAAATGATATGAAAAAGAAATCAAGAATGCAATATCATTTACAGTAGCTGTAAATCATATAAATACCTAAGAATCTATTTGACCAAATAAGTAAAATATCTATACAAGGAAAACTATTTAACACCGAGGGAAAAAAAAGGACACAAAAAATTTAAAGATACTTTATGGTAACAGATTGGACGAATTAACATTGCTAAAGTGACCATACTAACATTGCTAAACTGACCATACTACCCAAAGCAATTTACAGATTCAAAGTAGTCCCTATCAAAATACTAACATCTTTCTGCATGAAAATAGAAAAAAAAAAGTCCTAAAATTTTTATAATCACAAAAGATGCTGAGTAGCCAAAGTAATTCTGAGCAAAATAGAATAAAGCTGGAGGCATCACATTACCTAACTAAAAATTTATTACAAAATTATAGTAACCAAATCAGCATGGTACTGTCATCAAACAGACACACAGACCAATGAAACAGAATGGAGAACCCAGATATATATTCATGCTTTTAAAACAAATAATCTTCGACAAAGGCACCATGAACATACAATGAGAAAATGACAGTCTCTTTAATAAATGGTGCTGGGAAAACTGGTTATCTGTATGCAGAAGAATAAAACTAGACCCCTATCTCTCACCATACACAAAAATCAAAGTGAATTAAATACTTACATCTAAGACCTGAAACTATAAAACTCTTAGATGAAAACATTGGGAAAACACTTCAGGACATATGTCTGGTTAAAATGTTTTTATCTAAGACCTCAAAAGCACAGGCAACCCAATAAAAAATAGAAAAATGAGATTACATCAAGCTAAAAAGCCCTTGTATAGCAAAGGAAACAATCAACACAGTGAAGAAAGAACTCACAAAATGGGAAAAAATATTTGCCAACTACTCTTATTAAAAGAGTGAAAAGCAATATGTTGGCAAGATTCAAATCCTAATAAATACATTTCACTTCTACTGGTATGTTTTCCTTTTTCAAAATATGCTTTCTTGTTTAATATTTTTTTCATTTTTTTCCATTTCATATCATATAAAGTAAACATTTTGTCATCTCTTGACATTTGCCTATTATTTTACATTCTTGGAAGTAATAATTCTTCATTATTTTTCTGAAGACTCTTAAAGTGGTTCAATAGCCTGTGATGATGGCTATAATTTCTTTTCATAACACTTCTTAAACAATAAATCAGTTTCTATCTTTACTTAGATTATATAAAAATTCTATTAAAAAAAGTGTTAATTTCCTCTATACTGCTAAGATCTCCACATTCCTCTGGTCCTAATCTTTTAAGCTGAATTCTTTCAATTCGATTCCGATTTGGAAAATTGCATTTCAAGTCTATGCAGTTGTGGTATATAGCTTGGGGTTCTCTTCCCTTATGGTGGAATACCCCAACCAAAGCGAAGTCCCACTGTAGGCAATATATTAGCTGGCTAGGTCTACCATAACCAAATACCAAAGACTGGGTGGCTTACACAACAAAAAATTACTTCATCACACTTCTGGATGCTAGGTTTGGTTTTCAATGGAGTTATTAGCAGAATTGGTTTCTTCTAAGGCCTCTATCTTTGGCTTGTAGGTGGTCATTTTTGTGTTTATATGGCATATTTCTTCTGCATGTGTCTACATATAAATTTCCTCTTATAATGACATCAGCAATATTTAATTAGGGCACATCCTAATGATCTAATTTTAACTTAATTACCCCTTTAAAGACTGTATCTCCAAATATAGTTATTTGAGATATTAGAAGGTTGAGACAACAACATACTGATTTTTGGAATGAAATAACTCAGCCCATAATAGGTGGAATGTCTCATTAATTTAAATATCACTTTATTAAAATTTTAAGGTATGTATTACTACCTTGAATGCCTCAGTTTGCTAGATAACTGCTCTGAATTTAAGATACATTTTCAATTATGTTTGTGGGATTTTTCACCTTTATTTTTCCTGAGGTTTTACACATTGTCAAGCAATTTTGTACTTTTACATGATATGATATGTATATCTGCCCAGTGGAATATGTTGATATAGCCAATGGTGAGTAGAAGACTCTTAGAAATCATTTATCAACATCGATTTAAAAAATACATCAACATTGTTTGTAATATATCAAATGACAAAGTCCAGTTCCAAAATCATACTTAATAAAATATCTATCTATAGCTGCCTGTCTGTCATCTACCTACATGTAGAGGTTTTGAAATAATAAAAAATTTATACTCAATAAGTTAATTATGGTTAAATTTGGATGCTTAAATCTGGTGGGATATTAAATTTCGTCTTCTCTGAATGACTCCAGTAAGCCTATTTGAACTGTCCACAATGAACATTTGTAGGCAGCTTTTATTTACCATAGACTTTTATTTCTAAAATAAATACTTTTGTTGGACTAGGTAACAAGTTACAAAAGTGCCTATAAACCAGTAATTCTATGACTGATCATCTATAATGCATGAAATCAGAAGTAGCGAAAGAAAAATTGCATAAAGAAAGAAATTCATTCCAGCTCCAAAACATTTGAAAAATCAAATACCTGACAAAATGGATTACCTACAAATGGTTTATATATATTTGGTTTAAATTGCATATGATTATTAAAATATTATTTGGAATTTATAGTAGTATTGATATAATGTTATGTAAAAACAATTAGGACATATAATATCTATGTAGAAAGGTGTGTTTGTGTTACATAATCTCCATGACGCTGTACAAATAACACTATGTTGTACATGACATGATGGGTGTGTACAAAAATGTACATGTTAATATATGAAAACATCATAAATTATTTCCTATAATCTAATTGTGCATGTCTCTTCTAACTTTTTGATAATTTTCTAAGGTTTTTGATAACTTTCATTAGAAGAGCAGGAATGCTATTTGATGTGATTGTTTATTCTTTTAAAATAAATGATCAAACATGTATGTTATAAACAAAACGAAATTGTTTATCTTATGTATCCAACAGGTAAATTACAAATAGGTACATAGTTTCAGCAGCATGTGTTTATAAAATTCTATTGAAATTTTGATGTTTTAAACAAAATATAGCACCATTTACTTTAGTAGGACTAACTAATCTGTAAAAGTAGAATTAACCAGGCAAGGCAGATGTATATAAAACATTTGACCTCTCTACATACAATAGTAATCAATTCCAATAGAATTTTTCTCTATTGGCAAAATGACTAGTTTTACCTTTGCTGTTTGATATTATCTGCAAAGCAGTGATTAGGGCATCAGCATAACCACTGCTGGAATATAAGTTTTTTGCATTCTATTTTAACAGTCCATTGGGCAAAATAAATTTGAGTAGAATGTGCATTGAAATAGAAAGACTTTCTGATGGAGAAAAGTGAAAAACTGTGATGATGCTGCTTGGGCTTTATCCCCTTCTGAAAGTAGTGATTTCTCTACTTAATGGTGTAGCCTTTTCTGCATCATTCAGTAGAGAAGCCACTGCCAGAGTATATTTAATGGTATTCTAAAATAAACTCTTCTAGGAATCCAAAATGCCCCTGACAGCAAGAGGTAACTGAATACATTGTCAGCTAAGGTTCAATTTTAAATCTTCATGGAACATACAAAATACTCTTTTAAAAAAATTCTTTATACAGCGCTGACATTCATCCAGTAGGCAAGAGTTTAGCCATATTTATTTTTAAATTATTGAAATGTTTTCTTCCTTTTGGTAAATAGTTATACCACCTCAGTTCCTAAACCCATGCATCCTGCCTCTGCCATCATTACAAAGTCCTAGATACCCACCCCCGACCTCTGATTGTTAATTCAGCAACCAAATTGTTAAGCTGGGCACAATAAGGTCCTACTCACCCATATTCCCACACCATGATGGAGGTCTATCCTTATTTAATAATGACTGTGTGGTATTGCTTGTTGAATGATTTGAATGTCAGCCCTTCTTATATATGTTTATGTAATAGTTTAAAATATGTTATACATACTTCAGGGGTCCTTGATATTGTTTCTTTTCTAATTTATTTATTTTTAAAATTTGCTTGGTGATGCTATGTATTTTCAAGTTCTATCTGTTACAAGAGATTTTTATTTTTGACCCCTGCCCACTATGAATTTCTCTTCTTTGAATGCTTAGAGTGAGGCCCTGTGCAGCCCGAGCCTTATTTAAATGTCTACAATGAACGTCTATTAATCTCTAGGCTGCCATAACTTGCTTGGAGCAAAAGGATTCAGTCTGGAAGGATATCTATCAGTCAGTGCAGTTGAGAAACATGTTGTGCTATTAACTGACTGAGAAGTGAGGTAGCTAGAAGGTAAATACAAGTACAAGAGAATTTCATATGCAGGAACATTTGGGCTTTCCTGCCTGTGTTATGCCACTTCTCCAGCCCTCTCACTGGTCAGCACTCAGATTCAGATCAGGGCACCTGGGAACCTGACTGTGCCTCAAGTGTCTCCATCTTGATCTTTTCTCACCTATCTGGGGGGTGATTTTCTTTAAATCTGATACTTCTGGAACTGCTTTCCATTTTCTTGGACCATCATTTGTGCTCAATGTTGCCTTCTCCTTGAAACTTTTTTATACAGAGAAACATGAATTTGAGAGTAAAATTATTATTGATGATGTTTCTAACCTGTAATTTATCTTCCTATAACAGACACTTGTTAACACATACAAGTTATTTTAAGTACCCAAATACAGTAAAGAAAGCAAATATCATTTTTGATATTATTAAGTTTAAACTTAGCCTTCTGCGTATCTCAAGAATGCTAATCATCTGAGCGATAAAAATAACATATGCCGACATGCTCAATAAATTTGTTTTGAGCCAATTAATACATAAAATAATGGATATCTGTACATTGTTGTAATGTTAAAAGTGGTATGTCTGCATATTATATCATTAAAAAGTATATTAAATATACCCTCCATATATATATATATATGTCTATGTATATATATATATACACGTCTATGTATATATATATATACACATCTGGGTTCTTATTACAATAAGATTATATTGCTATTTAAAAAATCGATGCCAAAAAACATTTGATTTACTTATACATACATATGCCAGAGCACATCTTTTTCTAAAGCCAAACCATAGACAGAAAAATCTCCCATCTCAGTGATTACTGAGGGACATCCTATTGTTCTGTTTTCAGTCAAGCTACAGAGGTAGAACTCCCACTTGAAAATATTATTTTTGGAGTTTGCTATTACTTGCTTTTTAATTTAACAATCAATTTTCCATTGGGGTCAAATATATACAACATGAAATTGACCATTTGTACTATTTTAAGTGTACAGTTCCATGGCATTAAGTACATTCACATTGTTGTGCAACCATCACCACCATCCATCTCCAAAACATTTTCATCTTTTCCAACAGAAACTCTATACTCATTAAACACTAACCCCCTTCCACCTCAGACCCTGTCAACCACTATATTATTTTTATCTCTCTGGATTTGTGTCTAGGTGTCTCATATAAGTGGAATTACAAAGTATTCATCCTTTTGCAATTGACTTATTACACTTAGCATAATGTCGTCAAGTTTCATCCATGTCATAGCTTGTAATTTCGTGGCACAGAATTTCCTTCCTTTTAAGGTTTCCCTTTTATCTACATGCCACATTTTTGTTTATTCGCTCATCCATCAATAGATACTTGGTTGGTTTTTTTCTTCACCTTTTATCTATTGTAAAACATGCCGCTCTGATTATTGTATATTGGTATACAAATCTGTATATTGGTATACAAATGTCTGTTTGAGTTCCCTGCTTTGACCTCTTTTGGATATATTACCAGAAGTGGAATTGCTAAAGCACATAGTAATTCTATACTTAATGTTTTAAAGATTTAACATACTGTTTTCTACAGTGCCTCGACCACTGTACAGTCCCACCAGCAATACACAAGGGCTCCAAATTCCCTACATCTTTTCCAATACTTGTTATATTCTGCGTTTTTGATCATAGCTATCATAATTGGTGTGAAATGGCATTCTTTGTGGTTTTCATTTGCGTTTCTCTAATGACTAGGGATGTTGAGCATTCCTTCATGTGCTTATTGGCCATTTGCATATCTTCTTTAAAAAATGTCTATTCAAGTCCTGTTCCCATATAAGTTATTTTATTGGTTTTATACACATGAAAGGAAACATTGAAAGCATAATTACCAAAAGGCAGAGAAAAGTCTGTGGCAAATGTGGAAATCCAAGAAAATTATGTTACTTCATTATTGAGAATATGTGACTTAAATAAAATGTATTCCCATCACTATAGACTTTTGTTTTTGTATTAAGGTGCTCATCATTACATTGTGTTGATACGAAGCTACAAATAAATATACATATACTCTGGCCATTAGAAGATCACTAGTTAGGTAGAGAAAAGATTTGATGTCTTCAGTAACATGACTTGAAATGGTGTAACTAAAGCCTAGGAGCATGATGTAAATTGAGGGAAACTTGATAGTCCATTATTTTTATAAGTCTTTGAAGCTATATACACACATGAAGAACAAAATAAGACTGGCTTTTCTTTTCTCTCCAAGTACTTCATTACCTAGACATTCATTTCAGAATTCTAATGTAGAAGCTTCGATAATCCAAATGGGAGGAATCACTGCAGGTAAACAAAGCCTGAGTCATAGCCAAGCACCAAAGAAACCCAAAAAATTAACTTCATTTTTTCCACCTGACTCTCCATGTCACCTCTGTAATTTGAGTATAAATTATATTTCCAAAACTAAGAAGTTAATTCATATTTATTTCCATGTTTCAGGAAGAACTCATCTAGACGCAAGTAGTGTCCTGAGTATAGATATTTGCGCAAAAAGCTCTACTTGCGGGCCCTGAGAGAAGAGAAAAGGGATATGTACCATATACAAATGCTTTTAATCATTTAAGAGCTTTAATAACTTTATCAACCTATCTATGGTGGTCAAGTTAAAAATTCTGAAATTTGGGCAATCCAGATTAACCCTCTTCTTGAAGTCTAGGGAGAGATTTATCAGCAGGAGATTTAGGAGTGGAAAGCAGTGCTTTAATGACACATGCTGTAATAGTTTCTGACAAGTTGATTGGTATCAGTGATTCAAACTAGAGACATAGGTTGCAGCCAGGTTATTGAAGGTCATAAATTCTAAAACGTGCAGTCACAGTTCAGCCTATTAGTAATAGAAAGTGAAGAAATGACTTTGAACAGGAAAGTTAAATGATAAAAGGAGAAATTGACAAAAGTAATTTAAAGGAAGTGTGCTAGATGAATTGGGATGGGAAGACATTGAAAATGAGGAAGCCAATTATTATGACATTTTCAGGATATATTGTCTCTTTTTTGTCTTGACATTATTGTACATATATTTTTATTTCCTTGCACCATTATTCCTTCATTCATAAATAAGTTTTTCCCCTTTGTATCATTGTATTACCTCAAATTTCCATATAATTTAATAACTAAGTGCAATTTAATATTGATCTAGATCTATCTTCTTTGATTTTAATTATTCCCTAGCACCTTTAACATCTCAACATTTCACTAAACAGTATAGAATATATTCCTGTCTTTTGACATACATGCCTGTATCACAAATATATTTCCTTATTGCTTTATCAAGAAAGCTGTATGTTTATACACTAAGTCACTAAAAAGTTAAGTGAAAATGCTAAATTCATACCAACAACTACTAATAAGTTTCCATAAAAATAAATTAGGTCTCGGGCCAGTGCAGTGGATCACTCCTGTAATCTCAGCACTTTGGGAGGTAGAGGCTGATGGATCACCTGAGGTCAGGAGTTTGAGGCCAGCCTGACCAAATGGCGAAACTCCGCCTCTACTAGAAATACAAAATTAGCTGGGTGTGGAGGTGGGCGCCTGTAATCCTAGCTGCTCAGGAGGCTGAGACAGGGAGAATAGCTTCAACCCGGGAGGCAGAGATTGCAGTGAGCCGAGATCACACCATTGCACTCCAACCTGGGCAACAGAGCAGGACTCCATCTCAAAATAAATAAATAAATAAATAAATAAATAAATAAATAACTAGGTCTCATTGAACTTTTATAGTTATTCAAGTTAAAAGGTGGGAGAAAATTTTATACATATTTGAATTTGCTATTCAGAAATTTTCCACAAAAATGGTCAATAGTAATTTAATATAAAACCCCAATGTATTTGATTAGTAATAATTACCCACATAATTATTATAAAATAAGTAGAAAATTCAACCAAGCCAAAATAGAAAGGTAAAAATTACACATGGTTATAGACTAGCCAGACATAGCTTTATATTTTGGAGTATATCATCATATATGTCTATATATATATGCTGAAACATATGTTGATGTTATCTAAAATAAAGATTATAGATACATAATAATCATGAACCTGGAGTTCAAGACCAGTGTAGGGAACATATGGAGATCCTGTCTGCATAAAATTTTTAAAAATAATTAGCTAGGCATGGAGGCATGTACCTGTAGTCCGGAGGATGTCTTGAACCCAGGGGTTAGAGGTGACAGTTAGCTATTATCATACCACTGCACTCCAGCCTGGGCAACAGAGTGAGACCTGGTCTCTAATAATATTAATAATAATAATAATAATAAACCTGAATTCTCTATATAATAACTTTTAAAACTCAAAATCACTGCATGAAAATATCATATCCTAAGAGATGTGTATTTTTGTTTTGTTTTGTTTTGCTTTGTTTTTTTGAGATGGAGTCTTGCCCTGTCACCCACGCTGAAGTGCAGTGGTGTGATCTTGGCTCACTAAAACCTCTGCCTCCCAGCTTCAAGCAATTCTCCTGCCTCAGCCTCCTGAGTAGCAGGGATTACAGGTGTGTGCCACCAGGCGTGGTTAATTTTTTTTGTATTTTTAGTAGAGAGGGTGTTTCGTCATGTTGGTCAGGCTGGTCTCAAACTCCTGACCTCAAACACCTGCCTTGGCCTCCCCAAGTGCTAGAATTACAGCCGTGAACCACTGCTCCTGGCCAAGAGATAAATGTTTGTAATATATTTTGTTTTGAACTTTTACTCGTATGAATCCCGACAACTTATTTGAGTTACCATCTAATACTAGATATTTATACGTATCCCTTTTTTTATAAGCTACTATGAATAAAGCATATTGTCCCTTTATAGTTAAATCTTTACTCATATACTCAGTTACTTGCTATTGCTGAATTCTCAGGAATAGAATTACAAGGAAAAGATAACGTATATTTTTTGGTGGCTTTTGACAATTGTCAACTGAAAGGTGATATGACTTTACTTTTCCACTCAGACGCTATAGAAAATTGCACCACTAAACCTTTATCAAGCATAATAGTTATTATTATCTGAGTTATTTAGATAAAAGAAGCACCTCTCCACATACAAAACAAAACCAAAAAGGAATTAGCAAACATCTTATACTTTGTATGGCACTGCTTCAAATCATAGTAAAGCCATTTTCGCCTATAACTTTAACCTCCTTTAGTATTTGGACAATATTATTTTTATCTATTTCATGGATTTAGGGCTAATGAATATGTCATTAGTGGACATGTGACATAAAAATATGCTTTCTCAAATTGCCTTCATCTCTATCTTTATTTTTGTGTTACTGGCCCCACTGACCCTTTGCTTGGATTTTCCTCTCCTTCTCTCTCACCGATGCTTATTCACTGTCCATCGCTGCACTTAAAAGTCACAAAAAGGCATGCCCTGAAAAACTGCTGAATGGCATTTTGACTCTGATATGGTTATTACAACAAACTTTAATGTTTTTTAATAGCACTCTTCACAATGTGTAGCCACACATTTATGCATGTGTTCTTAATCTGATTGATCGATGGCTCTTTCTCTAAATTTGCCAGTAACTTTTCTGAAAATGGAAAATCCTTGCCTCTGTTACTCACCAAGTAATAGAGTACAGAAAATTTTTAGGTATTCAAAGGGATCTGTTGAATAACTTCATGGCTGAGTTTAGGCAAGGAGAAGAACTGCCAACAAATAACATTATTATAACCACTGTACTGGAGTTCAGGCATAGGACACCAGATCCTGGGAGAGCCATGTCTTAGAAAGAGAACAGCAAAAACCTGCCTTAGACACTCTGGGGGACTTGTAAATACAACTGACACTTATTAGTCTTTTTCTTTAGCAACCTTTCTATGCCATTTGATAGTGCTGACTCCTCACTTCTTAAAAAATTTTCTTTCCTCGGCTTCCCTAATTCACCTATTTGTAATCCTTCAAACTTTTCATCTTCTATAGGCTTCTTCTTATCAAATACAATTATAAACGATTCCTAGGCAAAAGAGAAATAACCATTATTTAAGTTAAAAGATGACATATACTTCTACATAGTCAAACACCAGTGCAAAGAGAACAAAAAGGCACAATAAAAGAATCAGAATATCTTTATGCTAGAAAATAATAAATATGAAAATGTTTAAGATTTTATTAATGGAATTACCAATACTGATAGAATTGATTAAATATGATTAAACATATGGAGTTTCCACTAATATATATGATAGTAAAATATTGTGTGCAGTAGGAGTATTTTTTAATATTTTTCAGATTACTAATGTAACTTGTCTAGGGTGCGCCGGTGAAAAATCTTTGGAATTTTGGAAGCTAAATCAGTGTCTTTAAGTTAAAACCTTAAAATCCGATTGTTTATATTGGCTGCAGGAATGGCAGGATTGGAAAAAGGTTTAGATCAGCAGTCTCCAACCTTTTGGGCCTCAGGGACCTGTTTCATGGAAAACAATTTTTCCATGCACTGAGACTGGGAAGTGGGAGGCGGTTTTGGGATGATTCAAACATATTCCATTTATTGCACACTTTATTTCTATTATTATTACATTGTAATAGAAAGTGAAATAATTACACAACTCAACAATAATGTAGAATAAGTGGGAGTCCTGAGCTTGTTTTTCTGCATGTAGAGTTTCATCTGGGGGTAATGGGTGACAGTGACACCTGAAGTATGTTGCTTATGTCCAGTCTACTAGGTAATCTCATTTTGGTTGATGTCACTGCAGAAAACCCTGCTTCACAAAGATAGGATGTTGGAAATAAAAGCAGGCTTGTCAGTGCTGTTGTGGCAATCTCAAGATAGCCTTCCTTGACTTTAATCCAAAACGTATGGACTTCTGAAATTATCTCAAATATACTTTTCAGGTCACCGTCATTTGCAATCTCAAGCAGTTGATCCTCTTCTAGCACGAAGTGGCTTTGTGGCTTATTCATGTGGCTTATTCACAAATGCATTGTGGATCCATTACTTCCCTCTGCAGGGGTCTTTTGTGGTTGGGAAGTAATGCTCAAACTCTTTTGAAAGCCTAGATGGGTGATCATGCACCAAATGGGAGAAAGAAGGCCTTAGCTCAGTCTCTTTCAAAATCTCTCCTAATGTTTGAAACGTGTCAGAAATTTCAATGTTCACTCATCATCCCCACAATTCCAGTTTGGCTTTGAATGCTGCCACTTTATCTGCCAATTTGAACACAGTTGTCATTCTCCCTTGAAGCGACAGATTGGATTTGTTGAGCAGGCTGAATATGTCACACAAGAAAGCAAATCTTGCAACCCCTTTTGTTTTCCTAAAAGAAATTTCTGGTGTAGCTCTTGTAACTCAAAAATTCTGGCCAGTGATCTATCTTTAGAAAGCTATCTTGCTTCTGTGTATAAGAAAAGATGTGTGTGCTCTGCGTCCATCTCCTCACAGAGTTGAGCAAACAGATGTGAGTTAACGGCATGCACTTTAATGTGGTTGATAATTTTAACATTGTTAAGTTCAGGTGACAACATTTGGCTAGCCAGCATTTCTCCATGGATGACACAGTGGGTAGACTCATTTTCAAAAGCAAACTCTTTGACCCGCGTAGACTCATATTCGGAAGCAAACTCTTTGACCTGAGTAGTCAAACCAGAAAGCCATCCAGTCATGGCGGCTGCTCTGGTCATTCATATACCTATGAAAAATGACCAATTCCTTTTTTTTCCTGATATGTAATCATTCAAATACTTGAATAGTTCTGCGGCTGTGCTGTTGGTTGGCAACAAAAGTGTACATCACATATTATCATGCACATTCTCCTGAAAAATGTATTGCACAAAAACAAGGATTGTTACTTTGTTGTCAACATTGGCAGACTCATCAACCTGGATTGCATACCCTAGTGACTCATTAATCCTCTCTAACAATTATGCCTCAATATCCTCTGTTATTTCTTCAATTTGTCTTGTTATGGTGCTAGCTGAAAGAGGAATACCTGCCACCTTTTGAACTGCAGCCTCTCCTAAAAGTTTACAACAAATTTTCTTAGGAGCAGGTAGGATCAACTCTTCACCAATAGTAAAGGGCTTCTTAGCTTTAGCAATGTGGTTAGCCACTAAGGATGATGCTCTCCGTGCAGACACATTTGATGAAGTTGTGGCCTTCAATAATTGCTTCTGTTCTTTGTCTTCATTTCTTTTTTCTTTTGAAGAACTCCTAAGGCTTGTCTTTTAATGCAGGTGCTTGATTTCCATGTGTCAAAGCAGTTTTGAAGGTTTCATGGCTTTGTTGGATAGCTGGTAGCCTCATAGTATACAAACTAGGCTTGGACAATGTGAATCACCTGTTGCAATAAAATCAATAATTTAAATAGGACTCTTGGTATTTTCTTTTAAATGCAGCTTTCTCTTTTTTGTCAGTCTTAGAGTCTTCTGCTATCTCATCATTGGGTCTTTCCCTGTTTTCAAAGTAGCTGCCAAGTGATGTCTGTTTTTCACTCATTTTGGCTAGCGTTAGATCA
Source organism: Homo sapiens (assembly GCF_000001405.40). Classification (NCBI taxonomy): domain Eukaryota; kingdom Metazoa; phylum Chordata; class Mammalia; order Primates; family Hominidae; genus Homo; species Homo sapiens. The sequence continues at coordinate 25,243,687 of NC_000005.10, forward strand.
CTGGCTTACCAAAACTGTGACTGAGACAAGTGCACAGTGCAGAAAAGAGGCACAGAGGGAAGTGGTAAATAAAATAGTAGGTCAGTCATGTGCAGACTAAAGTAAGTGTTGGATTCGAACTTAAGGCCTGACACCAGATGCAGCTTAATTGTTACTTGCTATTCACTGATAGGATTTTGCTATGAATCTGCAAGCAATTGATTCATTATGGTCTTTGTGCAGTCAAACCTCTCTGCTAATGTTAATCTGTACATGCAGTCGCTCCCCAGTGTTAGCATCACCACCTCAGCTCCACCTCAGATCATCAAGATCATTAGATTCTCATAAGGAGTACGGAACCTAGATCCCTCACATGTGCAATTCACAATAAGGTTAATGCTCCTATGGGAATCTAATGCTACCGCTGACCTGGAAGAAGGCAGAGCTCAGGTGGTAATGCAAGTGATGGGGAGCAGCTGTAAATACAGATGACGGTTAGCTCACTGACCCGCCACTCACCTCTGCTGCGTGGCTCAGCTCCTAACAGGCCATGGACTGGTACCAGTCTGTGGCCCTGTGGTTGGGGACCCCTGCTTTAGATTATATGTAGGCTTGAGCAGGAAGGATTGTTGTAATCAACACATCTTCCATTCATTGTCTGAGCATTTTGATGGCCTGTCATTCACCTGGAAGGTAATTTACAACACCCTCCACTTAGCAGCACCCAACTATTTGTGGTTGGGAATTGACTTATAAATACCCAAATTCCCTCACTTTTCAGGGGATCACAGAGTTGTGTATTTTCTATAGTTCTTGGATTTTCCATGCGGGATTGATCTCACATCACCCATAATTGTATGTGTAATAATGGAAGATAACCTTTATCGATTGCCTTCTCTTCCCTGTTTCCCTCACCCCTAGGGCCAGATTTTTGTCACCAACAAAATAATCAAATTATATGTAGAGCCTTACCTCAGAGACTGCTGCTGATGTAAACCCAAACATAGGATAAGCTTTTCAGTGGATGAAGGATGAAAATGTTCTAGCATGTGTTTGTTTAGTTTTTGCCATTACAGATTTCCCTTTTAAGACCAAGTTCTGAAATATGCAAAGATGAAAATCATTTCATTCACAGGCTAGTAGACCTAAACTTTATATTCAAAATAAAACGTGTTTATAGAATATATTACATAAATTTATAAATGACTAACTTCTATATAAAGGCAATTTTTTAAAAAAAGACATTTGGATTTCTTCTGCGTATACCCCTGTCTTTCGTTATTAGTTTCAGAGGATAAAATGTGGCCTCCATAAAGTATTTCTCAGAGATTCTAGTAAGACAAAATACTAGGTAGCCAGATTATGTGATACTCGTTAAAAAGAGTCTCATTATATTATGTGCAGAATTATCTAATTTATATTTTTGTCATCAGACTTTATTGAGTTTTAACCTCATATAGTCATATGAATAGATCTATAATTAAATGACGATTTTTGGAATTCTTTTTCAGAATTCTTCGTCATATTTGAGGGATATAAAACATACATATTATCTATTATCTCTCAACACCTACATTATAAGTAATTAAGAATTTAAATATACTCATTTCAAATTAATTTAAATTTATAAAATATCAATGGATTGAACATGTTAAATAATACAATCTATCTTTTTGATCTCTTAACAAATGCTCATACTGTGTATATTTTCAAGTATATTGATGCGATGGTTAATTCTGAGTGTCAACTTTATTAGATTGAAGCATGCAAAGTATTGATCCTGGGTGTGAGGGTGTTTCCAAAGTAGATTAACATTTGAGTCAGTGGACTGGGAAAGGCAGACACACCCTTAATCTGGGTGAGCACCATCTAATCTGCTGCCAGCGCAGCCCGAATAAAAGCAGGCAGAAGGAAGTGAAAAGACCAAGACTGGCTTTGCCTCCCAACCTACATATTTCTCCCCTGCTGGATGCTTCCTGCCCTCGAACATCAGACTTTAGGTTCTTCAGCTTTGGGAGTTGGACTGGCTTCCTTTTTCCTCAGCTTGCAGATGGCCTACTGTGGGACCTTGTGATCATGTGAGTTAATACTACTTAAGAAACCCCCCTTTATATCTATCCTGTTATTCCTGTCCCTCTAGAGAACCCTGATGAATACAATTGGTATTGTAGAAAAGTAATTAATTAATAATTAAGGATCAGGTTTTCTATATAGCTTATTTTATGATTTACAATTTAAGTATCTTAAAGTAAAAGGAAGCTAATCTTTTTACTTTATCCTATTATCTAATCAAGAATATGTGTATTTTAATTTCAAAAAAATGAACTCATTAGCGTCACCTTTCTTAGGACTGAATTGTGCCTAATAATTAGGAAATAATTATTTGTAATTTATACAGCAAACATATTCCTAGTGGTATCCAGGGCTAAAGATTTTCCATTTTTACATCTTACCTCATAGATGGTCTTATGTGTTTAAAAATAAGTCATCCAAAATAAGAGGCACCCATAATTTTTTTAAAAAAAATTATTAAGAATTAGGGTCTGGGGGTGGTAGCTCATGTCTGTAATCCCACCACTTTTGGAGGCCAAGTTCAGGAGTTCGAGACCAGTCTGGCCAACATGGTGAAACCCCTTTGCTACTAAAAATACAAAAATTAGCCTGGTGTCTTGGTATGCACTTGTAATACCAGCTACTTGACAGGCTGAGGCAGGAGAATCACTTGAACCCCAGAGGCGGAGGTTGTAGTGAGCTGAGATTGTGCCACTGCACTACAGCCTGGATGACAGAGTGAAACTCCATCTCAGAAAAAATAAATAAATAAAAAGGAAATAAAGAATTAGGTCACTGATTATGATGGGGGCTCCAAAGACCTAGTGCCAGGGTGTCGTACTTATGCACTTATTGTAAAATAAAATTTGCACTGGCACCTGTTCAAAAAACATCAAGTATAACTTTATTCAAGATTCTTAGTACAGGGGTTCAAAACTATTTTTAGACATTAGGTGAGCTAATAAAAAAGTTCTGGAGATCTTGGTCAATAGGATTAGGTCACCTGTGTTTGCTAATAGTCACCTCTGGAATTTAGACTTCTACCCTACTCTGGAAACTTGGAGACAGAGCCCTATATTTTTTGATGAGTGCATGTCAAAAAGATGGCTTCCAGGTTGTGGGGAAAACATTTCTGTACTGTGAATTTATATTTCAGAAGAACAGAGTAGAAAATAACCGTTGCAAGTTTTCTAAAGTAAATATTTTCACGAAAGGAAGGTTAGGGACCTACAGTCAGGAAGAAGTCTAAAGATTTGTCAAGCTGAGGAAAACTGTAAGGCTTTCTTGCCCATTATCTACAGGGGTTAAACGTGGTATAATGCCTTCACTTTCATAATTACATACACACGCACAAATTCCACATTTTGTGGAATTGTAGGTATGAACACGTTAAACGAAGTACTGCCAGGAAGTTGCACCATTCATGCTTATGTTTGGGGCACCAACCAATCACCAAACATGGCAATACTGGATGCCTGTTGTGATGTTTCTTAGAGTTGGGTGCACGGATACATTATCAATCACAAATACTCTGAAATTTGAAAACCACTGGACTAGATCAATAAAAGGTGGCCTCTAAACTTCAGAATCTGACTCCTCGTTTTGCCTCACTAGTACTTGTCCTCTTAGTAGTTAGTCATGGCCAGGGAATTCTCTATTGATGCATTATTACGTTGAATTATTCAACCAAAGAGTCTAGCTATCAAGGTTGTGTCCTTTTCTGGGCCACCATAAACAAAACCCTAATACAAGGCACTCACATGTTACAATATTGGTTGCTGCTAGAGACAATTATATACTCAGACAAAAAGCTGACAACGTAATTAGCATGAAGAAAAAACACTGCATTGTTGTATACTTTCATTTTACCTAGTGTTATTAATGGTTCCATTAAAAGAACAGAAAAGAAAGGTTATAATATTTGTTCTCATGGTAACTCTCATGAAGTATATAAAGGAAGGCAATGATTAGTCATTTTTATTCATTTAATATTCATTGTGTTCCCTTGCCAAAGCACAAAGGCCAGAAAAGGAATTAACCTTTGCTCTTGGTTTGATAGAAATGCAACTAAAATAAGAACCACCTAGCATTAATATTGTTAAATTGAAGGTGCTTAGAAGACAGATGTGGCTTTAAAATAATCCCAGATGGTTACTGGTATATCCCGCTCAAAACAAAAATGCCAGTCTGTTTGGTTCAAAGATCGTTAGTTCCCTTATTTGACAATTTGGGATTTACATCTCATAATGTGAAAAATGCACTGTGTTACCTAGCAGAGTGTGTGACCCTGGGCTAATTAAAAGACACACAGGAGCAGGGCAGGGTGAAGCGATGCTGCTTCATTACTAGTGGTGGTTGGTCCCTAGAGGCAGAAAAACCAAAATATTCCTGGAAGTGGTCCAGTGCATCAGTCAAAGGCATGCACGTCCCAGATAGCAAGGCCACTGAGTGGGATCACAGCACCAGGAGCTGCTGGATCTGAGTGTGACTTTTGTTTGTTTGTCAGGTTGGTAAAATAGGAGACCACAGAGGGAATTGAACGTGCAGATGAAGCTGAATGTGACCTTCTCAGCTGACAGGCCAGCCTTGGGGCTGGGGATATTGGGTGGGCATTAGCACCAGTATGTTCTGGAGCACCTTTAAGTAAAACGTGACAGATTAATGGAAAAAGGGAAGGAGAGAATACGGAGATTATCCTAATGCTGGGGTTCCCAGTCCTTGGCCCCCTTACCTCTCGAGTTAGTTCTGTATTTCTGTCCCTATGTTATATTCTAACTGGAAGCCAGGCATGTAAGGAGAAGCAAGGCCATGCATTTGACCAGACTGGGGCTAAAAGGAATCAGGCAGAGCCTGAAAACCTGTGATTTCCATCACTAGAAATCTCTCCAAGAGATTAATCCAACTTATGTACAAAAATAGGCATTTCAAAATTATTTGTAGGAGCCAACTATGACACTTAGAAACTTATCAATAGGAGGACAGAGGTGAAATATGTAACGTCCATGCCATATGCCATATATACAATATGTAATCATTTTATTATAGAATATATAAGTATAAAAATCCATATAATAGACAACTAAGAAACATAAAAACAAAAGCGGTGAATGGATGTACTAATAAAATTATGGTATATAAATGTATATATTTACATATAGTTATAAGGCAATCTATAAATTCTGTTCCTTTTTTAATGTAATATGGTATGTACATATGTATACACATGCACAATGTATTTTGTAATATAAATGTACATATTCTAAATATTATATTTGCACATACACTCACACACAAAGAAATATACCATATCATACACAGAATGTATATTCTGTTGTTTTAGGGTGGAAAGTTCTGTAGATACTTAGCAGGTCCAATTGATCCAGTGCTGAGTTCAGGTCCTGAGTATCTCAGTTAATATTCTATCTCAAAGATCTGTCTAATATTCTCAGTGGGGTGTTAAAGTCTCCCACTATTATTGTGTGAAAGTCTAACGCTCACTGAAGGTCTCTAAGAACTTGCTTTATGAATCTGGATGCTCCTGTGTTGGGTACATACATATTTAGAATACTATGTTCTTTTTGTTGAATTGAACCATTTACCATTATGTAATGCCCTTTTAGTCTTTTAAAATTTTTGTTGGTTTAAAGTCTGTTTTGTCAGAAACTAGGATTGCAGCCCCTGCTTTTTTCTGTTTTCCATTTGCTTTGTAGATTTTTCTCCATCTCTATTTTGAGCCTATGTGTGTCACTGCATATGAGATAGGTCTCTTGAAGACAAGGTACTAATGGGTCTTAGTTCTTTATCCAGCTTGCCACTCTACTTCTTTTAATTGGGGCATTTAGCCCACTTACATTTAAGGGTAGTGTTGACATGTGTGGGTTTGATGCTGTCATCATGATGTTAGCTGGTTATTTTGCAGGCTATTTTATGGGGTTGCTTTATAGTGTCACTGGTCTGTGTACTTCAGTGTGTTTTTATAGCGGCTGGTAAGTTTTTTCTTTCCATATTTAGTGCTTCCTTCAGGAGTTCTTGTAAGGCAGTATAGGCGGTAACAATTCCCTCAGCATTTGCTTGTCAAAAGAATCTGATTTAACCTAACATCAATACTAAAAGAACTAGAGGGCCAAGAACAATCAAATCCCAAATCTAGCAGAAAACAGGGAAAAGACACAATCAGAGCAGAACTGAAGGAGATAGAACCACAAAAAACCATTCAAAAGGTCAAAGATCCAGAAGCTGGCTTTTTGAAAAAATTAATAAAATAGGCCAGGCGCGGTGGCTCACGCCTGTAATCTCAGCACTTTGGGAGGCCGAGGCGGGCAGGCCACGAGGTTAAGAGATTGAGACCATCCTGGCCAACATGGTGAAACCCCATCTCTACTAAAAATACAAAAAAATTAGTTGGGCGTGGTGACATGCAGCTGTAGTCTCAGCTACTCAAGAGGCTGAGGCAGGAGAATCACCTGAACCCAGGAGGCAGAGGTTGCAGTGAGCCGAGATCGCACCACTGCACTCCCGCCTGGCAACAGAGTGAGACTCGTTCTCAAAATAAAATAAAATAAAATAAAATAAATATATAGAGAGAAGATTCAAATAAACATAATCAGAAACGACAAGGAGGGATATTACCACTAACCCAACAGAGATATAAACAGCCATCAGAGAATATTATAAAGAATTCTATGCATATAAACTAGAAAATCTGGAAACATACACCCTCTCAAGACTCGCCCAGGAAGAAATTGAATCCCTGAACAGACCAATAATGAGTTCTGAAATCGAGCCAGTAATAAATAGCCTATCAACCAATAAAAGCCCAGGACCAGACAGAGTCAGAGCTGAAATCGACCAGATGTACAAAGAAGAGCTGGTACCATTTCTGCTAAAACTATTTTAATGAATTGAAGAGAAGGGACTGGCAAGGACACAACAAAAAAAGAAAACTTCAGGCCAATATCCCAGATGAGCATCAATGCAAAAATTATCAACAAAATACGGGAAACTGAATCCAGCAACATATCAAAAAGCTTATCCACCATGATCAAGTAGGTTTCAGCCCTGCCATGCAAGGTTAGTCCAACAAACACAAATCAGTAATTGTGACTGATCATATAAACAGAACTAAAGAAAAAATCCCACATGATATCTCAATTCACACAGAAAAAGCTTTCCATAGATTTCAACACCCTTTTGTGTAAAAAAAACCTCTCAATAAACTAGGTATTGAAGGAACATACCTAAAAATAATAAGGCCCATTTATGACAAACCCACAGTCAACATCATACTTAATGGGCAAAAGCTGGAAGCACTTCTCTTGAAAACCAGCAAAAGACAAGGATGCCCTCTATCATCACTTCTATTCAACACAATATTGGAAGTTCTGACCAGGGTAATCAGGCAAGAGAAATAAACAAAGAGCACCCACATAGGTAAAGAGGAAGTACAACTATCCCTGTTTGCAGATTACATTATCCTGTATCTAAAAAAGCCCCTATAGTCTCAGCCCAAAAGCTTCTTAAGCTGATTAACAACTTCAGCAAAATCCTAGGATGCAAAATCAATGTGCAAAACCACAAGCATTCCTATACACCAACAACAGTCAAGCTGACACTCAAATCAGGAATGAACTCCCATTCACAATTTCCACCAAAAGCATAAAATACCTAGGATTAGAGCTTACAAGGGAGATGAAAGATCTCTACAAGGAGAACGACAAAGCACTGCTGAAAGAAACCAAAGATGGCACAAACAAATGTTCATGGATAGGAAGAATAAATATTGCTGAAGTGGTCATACTGTCCAAAACAATTTATAGATTCAATGCTATTCCTATTAAACTACTGTGATGGTTAATACTGAGTGTTAACTTGATTGGACTGAAGGATGCAAAGTATTGTTCCTGGGTGTGTCTGTGAGGGTGTTGGCAAAGGAAATTAACATTTGAGTCAGTAGACTGGGAATGGCAGACCCACCCTCAATCTGTGTGGGCACAATCTAATCAGCTGCCAGAGTCGCCAAAATTAAAGCAGGCAGAAGAACGTGGAAAGGCTAGACTGGTTTAGTCTTCTGGCCTACATCTTTCTCCCTTGCTGGATGCTTCCTGCCCTCAAGCATCAGACTCCAAGTTCTTCAGCTTTGGGACTTAGATTGGCTTCCTTGCTCCTCAGCTTGCAGATGGCCTATTGTGGGACCTCACCTTGTGATCCTGTGAGTCAATACTCCTTAATAAACTCCCCTTTATATATTCATCTATCCTATTACTTCTGTCCCTCTAGAGAACCCTGACTAATATAACTACCTTTGAGATTCTTCACAGAACTAGAAAAAAAAAATTTTTTTAATACATATGGAACCAAAAGAGAGCCTGAATAGCCAAGGCATCCTAAGCAAAAAGAACAGGGCTGGAGACATCACACTATCTGACTTCAAACTATACTACAGGGCTATAGGAACCAAAACATCATGGTACTGGTACAAAAACAGATACATAGACAAATGAAACAGAATAGAGAATCCAGATATAAGACTGCACACCTGCAGCTATCTGACCTTCAACAAACCTGACAAATACAAGGAATAGAGAAAGGATTTCCTATTCAATAAATGGTGCTGGGATAACTGGATAGCCATATGCAGAAGATTAAAACTGGACTCCTTTTTATACCATATACAAAAATTAACTCAAGATGGATTAAAGACTTACTTAAATTCAAAACCCAAAACTATAAAAACCCTGGAAGACAACTTAGGCGGTACCATTCAGGACATAGGCACGGGCAAAAATTTCATAATGAAGATGCCAAAAGCAATTGCGACAAAAGCAAAAATTGACAAATAGCATCTAATTAATATAAAGAGATTCTGCATAGCAAAAAAAAAAAAAAAAAGGAAAGAAAAAAGGAAAAATTGCCCACAGAGTAAACAACCTACACAATGTGATAAAATTTTTGCACACTGCATCTGGCAAAGGTCTAATATACAACATATACAATAAACTTAAACATTTAAAAAACAAACCCAATGCAACCCATTAAAAAGTTGGCAAAAAACATGAACAGGCCCTTTTCAAAAGAGGACATGCATGCAGCAAACAATTATATGAAGAAAAGTTCAACATCGCTGATCTTAGAGAAATGCAAGTCAAAGCCACAATAAGATATTGTCCCATGCCATTAAGAATGGCTATTATTAAAAAGTAAGAAAATAACAGATGCTGGCAAGGTTGTGGAGAAAAAGGAATGCTTACACACTGTTGGTGGTTGTATAAATTTGTTCAACTATTGTGGAAGACAATGTGGTGATTCCTCAAAGACCTAAAGACAGAAATACCCTTCAACCCAGCAATCCCATTATTTGAGTGTATACCCAAAGGAATATAAATCATTCTATTATAAAGACACATGCATGGGTATGTTTATTGAAGCACCTTTCACAATAACAAAGACATGGAATCAACCTAAATACGCATCAATGATAGATTGGATTAAAAAATTGTGGTACATATATACCATGGGATACTATGTAGTCATAAAACAGGATGAGATCTTGTCCTTCACAGGGACTTGGTTGGAGCTGTAAGCCATTATCCTTAGCCAACTAATGCAGGGAGAAAAAAAAAATACCACATGTCCTCACTTAAAAGTGGGGCTAGAAGATGATGACACATGGACACATAGAGGGGAAGAATACACACTGGGGCCTATCAGGAGGGTGAAAGGTGGGAGGAGGAAAAGGATCAGGAAAAATAACTGATGAGTACTAGGCTTAATACCTGGGTGATAAAATGATCTGTTTTACCAAACTCCCATGATCCAAGTTTACCTGTGCAACAAACCTGCACATGTACCCCTGGACTTAAAATAAAATTTACAAAGAAGAAAAAGAAAAATTGGTTTAAGTGTATATTTCCTAAATTAAAGATAAACGTTGAATTTCACTTAAAATGTAAACAAACATTTTATTCTCTCAATGCTGACCAAAGCCTTTGTTTTGAGTATGGGGGATTATTCTCAATCGAGTTTCCTGTTGTCTTTCTTGTATACCCGGAAGACTTTTTTAGCAGCTAATTTTATTTTCCTACAGTGGGGAGAGAATGTAAGTACATTTTTGTAATAGTTTGGTCTCATCATCCTTTGAGTTTTATAATCTTTTTTCCTCAATTACATCTTATACTTGTCTCACACTACCTTGACAGTGATTATTCTGATTCACCTTTATTATTTCCAAAGCATGCAATTTTCTTAATAGAACTCTTTTTTCTAATGATTTTTAAGTGCTTATTTAATTTAATTAATGCATATAATTGAAAAGAGCAGTAAAACTGGCTTGAACAGTTTTATAAGAGCTGGCTGAGTCTTAATAAGCGTTACACTTAATGCAGAGAGAAGTGTGTGGCTCACTAGAGAATAGCTACAAGCTTAGTGAATTAAGAGAGCTTTGGACCCTAGACAGGAGGTGTTACAGAGGAATGGCTCTCAAATATGATTGATTTTTCCCCTCAGGGACATTTGGCAATGTCAGGAGACATTGGCACGACTGTTCAGGGGAAAGATTGTTATTGGTATCTGGTGAGTAGGAGCCAGGGATGCTGGTAAACATCATGCAGGATACAGGGCTGCCCTCAAAACAAGGAATTGTCTGTTAATAGTTTCACTGTGAAGGTACCTTGCTTATAGAGGAAATGGAGAGCTTCTAAGCCTCTGAGCCCTTTAAGAGGAATACATATTGGAAATGTTATTGTTTCAACTACTAGGGTTTGTTCGCATCCAGAGGCAAGTTGAAAAGTCGTATTTTCTTCAACCTTTCATATTCCATAGCAAAATAAATATTAGGTTGTACATAGAAAGTACTTGATAAATTCTTGTTCAATGATACAGATACAGGATGCAAAAATGATTTGTTACAAGCCAAAGGGGAGGTAAAGAAAAATGTTATAATGAAAATAAAGATGGAGCATGTGAAAGACTTAAGAAGGTGGAAAAGTGGCAAAAGTCAAGGATATGTTTCCAAAAAGTTTCTGATATGCTCTCTTTTGTGAGCAAAAGGCTTTTCTATTACAAACTGTTTCAAGCAACCTAAAATATCATGTTCTGTGATTTTAGAAGTTTACAAGTATGGGGCCATATGCACAATATACGTACTTGAGATTAACCTGAATTACTGCTAAATTTAACCTTGCTTACACATAAATGCAAGCTATACAAGCCAGTTGGATTGTTTTAAAAAGAGATGAATAATATTGAAAATTTTTTTTACCAATAGGACTGAAAAAAGGACATTTCTTTAAAAGATATTTTATATAATATTACATCTCTCTACTTGGAAGATACTTTCACTTCTAGATTTAGAACTAATTTTCTAAAAATTATACTCATTTGAATTTTCAAAAATCATTATGTTTAGTTTAGGCTATAATATTTATAAAGTGCACAAAATGTTACCCTATCAATAGTTTTACCCCATTTGTTAAAATTTGTACCTAATTTGGAAATTCGACATGCCAGGAGAAATTTATAAGCAGTAATCCATTCACTGTTTGCAAAGCAATTGGTATAACAACTAAGAGACATGCCATATTGGTAGAGGGATTAAATAGTCATAGCAGAAGTGCAGTTCATATTTGCTTTAGTAATACTGGCAGAGAGATAACATCTATTTGAGACTTACAAATGGGGTTTCATTTCCTTCAGCTACATCATACTGTATTTTGAAGGAGAGTGATTTCAGCAGGCTTTTGTCTTATGCAAGCAATACTAGCAAACCCAGCAGGATGATGAGTGCTAGATAGTTGCAAAATTGATATTAGGAGAAATTTAAGTAATTAAACTTTAACACCTTAGTATTGACTTTTGTCTGGCCTTTTACATGTAATACATTTATTATGCACAAGCAGATGCTGACATTCATGTTAGGAAGGTAAAAATCTTTGGAAAACTAAACTTGAGAGCTCCCTGATCACTATTTAATAGTAGCATCCTTTTTTGTTTGATCATTATCTACAAATGACTTTAAAGAATATTATTTGTCTTAATTTGCTTTAAAAACTCTGAAGTTTTTATCCCTATGCTGGTTTTGATATTATGCCACTTCAGCCCTATCTTCAGCCTGACTTCCTTCTCTTCCATAAGAAATAAGTACTGAGTCAAGGGAAACTGATCATTTGCCTCTGTTTTAGGATAGATTTATAGGCAGGTCATAGGTCTAGGAAACTACCATAGCATCACAGTCTGGCATCAGTGTGTCTGAATTACAGACACAAGGTCCCCTGAGAAAATAGCCAGGTTCTGGAACCCTTAAATGTCATTCCAGTTGTAGCATTTATATAGTTGCAAAATGTCACATTTATTTTAAATTTCTTTTATCTAATACCTACTGAAACAGAATAGTATTTTTTTTAAAGATGAAATTGAGATTTTTTAAGTTGAAGGTAGTAAGCCAGATACTGAACTGAGAACTAAAGTTTTAAGAATACAAGAAAAATAAATCCCAGCATAGGTAACAGAATGATTTGAAAAGTGCAAAAATAAATGTAAAAAACCATTGTGCAGAGGCAATTGAAGTAAAAGTAACCATTAGAATCACAAAAATGAAAAGGACTTTAAGTCATCATTACCAAACCTACTCAGAAGGAAGCCTTTTTAAAGTAACATAGCACAAAGAATGTTATAAATTGAGAATGTGCAGAGTGCCATGGACAAAAACAGTATAAGCAAAATAGCAGATTCTGATACAATGCTACTTTTTCTAGAAGCTTCCAAGGAGTACATGCTGAAAGATTGCTCTATGTAAAAATAAAAATATTCTGAGGTATTTTGAATCTTTGTCCTAAGCATAATAAAAGAGTCCACTGGTGAACTGTGGGAGGGTATAGGATGTTTTCACCCATTTTTGGAAAAGACCTAAGGTGGTCTAAAAAGTAAGCTGAAAGCTTATTTCCTTTCTAAGTCCAAACCAGATTCTTATATCTTATAACTCTAAAAATGAGGAAATGTCTGACATAGTAAGAAGATTTATGTGATGTAACTAAAAAGACCAAGAAATAATAAAAGTCCAAGAAAACTTGCAACTGAGTAAGCCTAGTTCATGCAACAAAGAAAAATTCCACAGTATGTATTATCTTTTCTTTTTGGGGTAATGAGGACATGAAAATTGGTCTTAAGTTGAGATAAATTATAGCAAATATGAATCGATGAATAAAATATAATATAGTTAGAATGTGAGGAGTGTGGAGATGAGGTGTAAAATAGAGATGAAAACAAAAAGACCATAACTGAGAGGATTGCATGTTAAAGATTCCAGTCTTCAAAACACTAAGGAAAATAAGAAACAAGTAACGAAGCAGGTGAGTGAAATGATTATAAACAGAATAAGGTGATAGTGGTAGACACTGGGAATAGTGAAGAAATTCAAGAGATATTTAGGTCATAGATTAAGGTGATATTGTGGTTGATTTGATATTGGTGAAAGAAAGAAGAGAGTTTTCTGATTTTTAAGTTTCTTTCATGATTTTTTTTTTAGAAATTTAATATTTTCTGGCTTTAATTTTTTTTTAATTTTTCTGCTCAGGTTTTCTAATTTGGGTAACTTGATGAGTGGTGCTGCCAATACTGGAATTAAGAAATATAAATTTAATGCTTGGATTGATGGTATAATAAATTAATTTTTATTCATTTTGAATTTTTGTGTTCTTCTGAAGCATGAATGAGAAGAAATTTCTTAGGTTTTGTAATCAGAAAAGGCATCTGGATTAAAATGTGAATTTGAAGATTGTCAGCACATAGGTAACAATTACTTCACAATGATCAGTAAACTTCTTTTTAAAATATTTGTGCTGAAAACCCAATTAAAAATGCAAACTTCTGAAAAGAGGAAAGAATTTAGAGCTAAATATATCAAAAAGATGAGAGACACATAATTGTGGTAGGAAACAAACACCAAAAAGCATTTATTAATTCTCTAGACTTATTTTGTCCTATTTCTTTTTATTTTTTGAGTATATAGTTGTAAGAAAACTACCTAAGAAATTTGAAGTTTGAAGTTAATTACTAAACTAAAAAATTTGAAGTTTGAAATTAATTACTAAACATTAGTATTTCCTCTCTTAACACTGAGTCTTTCCTTCACTGTTCATTTACAATATCCCATTATTCATATATTGATAATTATATACATATCCCATTATTCATATATTGATAATTATATACATTTTACATTACTCATATAAATATGAGTGGTCTAAATAGTTATATGAGTAATTTATATATATTAGATATACATTATATATGCATATATATTTATATGTGTATATTTATTTATATGATATATAAATATATAAATATGTGTAATATAAATATAAGAGTAATATCAAAATGTTTATATATTAAAAGAGTAACATAATTTAATATATAGGTTGTCCCACTTTTTACTTTCTCTCATTCTAATAAAGAATCTTTGCTTTCTCACTCTTGCCTAGTTCAGAAGAGTAGAGGTTAACAGAGCAGCTCCTAGACATTTGTAATGCCACATCAGAAAATGGATAGGCCCTTGCTATGGTCTGAATGCTGATGTCTCCCCAACATTTATAAGTTGGAACCTAATACCCAATGTGATAATATTGATAGGTGGGGCCTTTGGGGATTTGACTGAGTCACGAAGGATCCACCCACTTTAATGGGATTAGTGCCCTTTTCGTGCTATCGCCAAGTGAGGGTGCAATAATAGGCATCACGTCATCTTTGAAACCTTCATTACTCACTGAGTTAATCTACTGGTGTTTTGATCTTGAACTTCTCAGCCTCCAAAACTGTGAGAAATACATTTCTATTATTGTATTAATTACCCAGTCCAAGGTATTTTATTATAGAAGCCTGAAAGGCCAAGACATCCACCAATAGGGGGAATTGATTAGAAAGAAAACTGCATTGGTCCACATCACAGAGAGACTGGTGTTAGGGAGGGAGAAAGGGAAGCTAGGAAAGAGAGAAAGGCAATTTTATGTGTGCTTTTGGTCAGTGTTGTTTGTTGTTAGACATGAAAGGACTGTAAAGACAGAAAAAATTATAGCAGTGAGTTATGAATCATATGTATTTTCAAAAATACACTAATTCTATTAATTAGTTATTTTCTTAAATTTGGCTTGTGGTTTAGATATAACTCAATGAAGAGACTGACCATGCTTGTTCACGTTTCATAAAAAGAACATAAAAAATAGATTTCTATTCATGGCAAACAGAAGATCTCACTTCTCAATCTACTGCCATCATGGGACCATGGTAAGGACACTATCTATGGTGTACTAATTGTTGGATAAGTTCAACAGGAACAATGAATACTTCTCACTTACCGTTTAAAATTACATCATTAGCCAGACTATGTTACTGCTGATGCAAGCCATTTTAAAACTATTTAACATATAACAATGTGTATCATTAAATGAAATGTGTATATGACACCACAATTATAATTACAAGTGTGCTGTTTTCTTTTGCTACTGTAATTACACAATAAGACATCTGATACCCAGTTTTATCTGCATAGTTATAGGAAAGTAGTGTTGACATCTATCAGCTTGAGGAAACCACACAATGAATTATCATAATATAAATTATTTGTGTTAGGCTCCATTATGTGTACTTGAAGCTGGTGTATAGATTGATATTAGGTTTATTTTTATTCATAACCTCTGACATGACTATCATAACAATTTTGAAAAGATACATCAAATGTCAAAAATCTCATTTTGTAGATTTGAATGTTTTATTGTATAAATTAATATATATGCATTTCCAATATGTACATATAATGTAGTATATCGATAAATGTATGCATGTAATACTAAATATGAACACATATATATATATATATGCAAATACAAATAGAAAGAGCAATGTTTGTTCATTAAATCCATTGTATCCAACTCAATATTTTCTGAACTGTCAAGATTTCACATTATAGCCAATGTATTTTAAACTACTAACTGCTATTATAGGTCAAAATCTTGCTAAATGAAATATTTTATTTGACTCAAGTTAGTATATATATTATTGGTGGCCCATTTGGAGATACTTCTCATCACACATATATATTTTTCTCTTTCTTTGTTATTTCTTTCTGTGATATTCTGTGTTATAAGATAACCCCACATTATTTGCTTGTATGTTTTCCAAAACATAATGGTAACAAAATTCACATTTAAAAATATGTATGATTAAAATAGATATAAGGTTCTATATCACAGTTCCCTAGACTACATTTCTATGACACAATGTCATCTTCCAATTGATTGACTAGTCTATTGCTTAATACAGAGATGATTGAAAATATTTTTGTCAAGAGACATCCTGCACTTTATTGAAACTCAGAAAAATATATTTTCAGCTATGTATTGGTGTCTTTTAGCTCTCATTGCCACTGTCACATTTGTTACCACTTTCTATGAAGGCCATGAGAGAAATGTGAGTAAAATGTAGAAAGTTTGAAATTTATCCAAAGCATGTTAAAATATATAGAACGTGTTGATGTTTAATTACCCATGTCACAAGACAAACAGTACAACAAAAGTATCAGTAATAATAGCAATAATTGCAGTACAGATCTTAAAAAGGTTATATGAGTTTAGCCAGTTATGTGGATCTTCTTATACTTAAATACATTAAAATAAAGGAGATTAAGACAGTTATGACTGGTAAATGTTAGGTAATTAAAATTTTTACCTAACATTTTTAGGTTAGGTAGGTTAGGTTAGGTAGGTAGGTTAGGTAAGTAGGTTATGTTTGTCAGGTAATCTTAATAACCTAACAAAATTACCTATATTTTTAATGTACAGTTATCCAACACAATTTTCCTTTGTTTACAGACCTAAATATCTCAACTTAAGGCAAGAAAATAAAGTACAAGCAAACCAAACTTGAATTTCTCATGTTACAGAAGATGCATTCAGGATAATATTTTATATTATTGAGAAAAAGCAAAAGGTAATTACATAGGAAACCATCTCATTTAGGGGAGTGAGAATAAAATTGCTATGATTACAATCAACACAGTGTCTAAAATTGTCTCTTCTAGCCTCAAAAAGCTGGATTAATGTGGGGTCCAATTGGAGTAAAATGATGGGTAGTACAGTAATACACGGAGACAATTTGTCTGTCTTTTCTAAATAAAAAATATGAAAAATGTGTGAGGCTTCTCTGTAGCTGAAGAGAAATGCTTTTCACATTCCTCGAAGCATTGGAAGTCTAGTTTTTTCAAAAAACATTGAGCTCTGTTTCCTGCAACCAAAATGACCTTGTCCTAACAACCCCTCAAAGTGTGTTTTCTGATAATTATTTCAAATACAGTGGACCTTTGAACAACAAAAGTTTGAACTGCACAAATTCATTTCTACATGGATTTTTTCAAAAAAAGTTACACCAAATATGCCTACGTCTTCTGCCTCGCCTTCTATCTCTACCACATTTTCTGCCTCGCCTTGTATCTCTACCACATTTTCTGCCTCTGCCTCCCCTGACAGCAAGACCAATCCCTCCCCCACACTTCAGCCTATTCAAAGTGAAGACATTCAGACAAAAGACCCTTATGATGATCCACTTCTACTTAAATAATAGATACATTTTCTTCCCTCTAACTTACTTGGTCATACAAATACATTATATAATACATACAGAATACAAAATATTTGTTAATTGATTGTTTACTTTTGTCCAGAGTAGGCTATTAGTGGTTAAGTTTTGGAGGGAGTTGAAGTTACACCGAAATTTTCCACTGTGAAGGAGTGGGGGAATGGCATCCTAACCCTTGTATTTTTCAAGAGTCAAGTGTCATATCATTACTGATACCATCAACTGTTCTAATTAAATAAAATAATGTATCATATCGCTTTAGAAATGGTGATATCTCGGTACGTTAACTTCAAATTAGGAAATTATCTTGTAAGTTTGCTAGATGATATGTATGTCTTGCTAGGCAATACAAAGAACATTTGGGATCTGAATAAGCACAAGGCACAGTCATGGACCTGCAGGAGTTTATCCCCCAATGGAAGATTAGACTTTGGTTGAGAAATCCTCCAAACGTAAACCTCAGGGAACAAATCCCTTGCCTTGAGCAAAATCACATTCCCAAAATAAGAGTCTGATCCATTTTCAAATCAATTTTGCTTGATTTAACAAATTTTCTTATATAAATCAATGAATTCACATTTTAAGAAATGTTTGAAAATAAGAATATGAAAGCAGCAATTTAGGCTCATAACTTGCCTTTATATCATATTTTTTAAATGAGAGAAACAAGTTTCTATGTGACACAAAGAGCATTTCATGATCTGAATAATTACATAAGTTTTCTTTAAGTTATTCCCCGGCTGGGGGTGTTGGGGGGGCGGGCGGGGATACAGCAATACACAATCTACAAATGTATTCTTTTAGAAGTTAGTGTAAGGAGAGAATGTTCTATTTTATGTTTGGTTTTTGTTTTATTTAGTGTTATTGCTTTGGCATTATATCACTGTGTAATAATTATATGTGACTCCAGACACAAGGAATGCTTCCCATTTTCCTTCTCTTCTTGGAGGAAAAGAATATCTTTGTTTACATGATAATCTCATTGATAAGAGAATGATACTGAATATTCAACAGTTTCTTATTTGCCCAATGCTTTCCAGCAAAATAAACACTTTGCATGTACTCTTTACTGCAATAAATATTTACTCTATACATAGCTACTCTCATAATTCACTTTAGGAAAGTGTGTATGTATATATGGACGTCGACATTGTCTTTCTGCTGTTATGCACACTTCCTCACAGCTGCATTCATGAACACCCACTATCTACAGTTCTTACTCTGGTTTGGACTCAAAATATAATAATTTAAATATAATTTACCATTAGCCTAACAAATGAGTCTATGTGGTGAACTTGATTAAAGTGTTCCACTCAAAGAGTTTCCCAAATTGTTTTTAAGAAGCAGACATTATACAGTTTCCAACTGAGAAAATGAAACTTTTTGTGGTTTTGTTTTTTAATGTGGAACCTCTTTTCATTTTCTATCCTCTACAAAGAATATTCAGTATCTAGGTTTTATTTCAATTGTGTCTTGAAAATTCTGTCCTGGTAAATTAACACTACTTTCTTAAATTCAATTATAGTTTATGTTATTTTTAGTCTATGTAATCCTAGCTTAGGCAATTAAAATTCTACCCAGTCTTGTTATGTGGCTCTTTTATGGAAAACATTTTTGAATCCGATGTCTTCCAGAACTCTGATCCAGTGTAACCCTTTCCAACAGACTTCAAATGATGCTGAGATAGTATTCCAGGTCTTGGTGCTTATAAATTAGCTAAATATAATCCCTGATGTTTCCCTATTTCTGTTTTGAAATGATAGTGTTGGAACAAAATATCTTTCATTGATAACTGTAGAAGATTTTATTTACTGTTATCAAGTGGATATGGAATGGTTTACCATTATTGCCGTTATCCAGTTGATCAGAATTACTTCAAGACTTTAGTTCTTAACTTTTGCAGCTTGTGCTGTTCAACTCATGTTTATAGGATCCTAATACACATGGAAGGCATAATATATTTTTCTCAGGCCGGGCGTGGTGGCTCACGCCTGTAATCCCAGCACTCTGGGAGGCCGAGGGAGGCGGATCATCTGAGAAGTAGCCTCTCCCGGACTGCGTTTAGCTGTCTCACCACCCATAGTAGTATCCTTTTGTTGTAGGAGTTTCTCCTTAGTTCAGCTAAAAGTGGGGTCCTTCTCAAACGACCATGAAAAATTAGGCCTGCAGACATTTTGAAGGGTGGAAAAAAAATTGAACGTTTAGCTGAAAAGGAAAAAAAAAAAAAAGGAAAACAGGGACTCAGCAAAGCGAGAGTCCTGCAAGCCGGTTTCCTGCCTTACAGATTGAATCCCAGGTACCACCCTGGAACAGGAGAGGCCAGGCTCCTGCCCCCTGCACATGACGCAAACTTTCCAAGGCTCTACTGCAGTGTGCACTCGTTCCAGTGTGCAAGCCGGATGCAGTGGCACGATCTCGGCTCACTGCAACCTACGCCTCCCGGGTTCAAGTGATTCTTCTGCCTCAGCCTCCTGAGGCTGAGGGATTACAGGCGCCCGCCACCACGCCCAGCTAATTTTTGTATTTTTAGTAGAGATGGAGTGTCACCATGTTGGCCAGGCTGGTCTCGAACTCCTGACCTCAAGTGATCCGCCTGTCTTGGCCTCCCAAAGTGCTGGGATTACAGGCGTGAGCCACAGAGCCCAGCCCAGATTGGGCATTTTCAATTAGCTCAAGATGGGTCATCTTTTGTTGCATATTTCGGACAGCCAACTAAACTGTCAGAGCCCTTACTAACTCCTGTAGCTTCAACAGTAAATGCAGATTCTCTGCTCAGTGAGAACATATCAATACATTCAAAATGATTCAACTTTGTGTTCTTTCCACCATTATCCTAATCATTTATATCCATTCCGACACTTCTTCTCCAGAATTTGCTTGTAGAACTTTAAAAACTCACGTAGATTTTTTTGGAGTTAGCATACTCTTGATGGGTCATGCTTTGTACCTCGCGTTTAGGTACTTGCTGATACTTGAGTCTACTTATACTTCTCGAAGCAAGGAGGAATGATAGGTGCTGGTTCTAAGAAGAATCAGAATTGTCTTACAAGGTAACTGCCTTAGGGGAGGCCATTCCCTTTCCCTCAGGAAATGTGGGATTTATACCCTCAGATTGGAGGTGGAAAAAAGTGAGATAGCCAAGTATAAAGGGGTCACCGAAGAACCTCCATCACTCCAGCCTGGGCGACAGAGCAAGACTCTGTCTCAAAAAAAAAAAAAAAAAGAAAAAGAAAAGAAAAAAGAAAGAAAAGAAAAGAAAAGAATGTCCTATCTCTATTGATTTAATATGGAGGAGAGGACTCAAAAGCTTAGAAAAAGAATAATGTTAAAATTGAGTTTGTTATTTAAGACATATTCATCCACACTGGGAGGGCCCAGAAGACATAATTTCATGAATACTTTGATAAATAAATTGGTGAGGGGACCCCAACATCCTTAATGAGTTCAGTGATCACTCTTCTATGTAGGCCAGACCCTGCAATAAGAACTGGAAACACTTAATTAGAAAACCTAACTTCAATAATTAGACATTGGAGGGCCAGGGGCCAAGTGGCAGCACCCAACCTCCAAAGTTAATGTGAGTGTGGTTACTGTGATGGATAACGAAGTCAAAAAAGCTATCAAAATTGTCTCACCCATAGACCTCTGGCATTGGCCAGTTAATTATGGCATTCCGGGAAGTGAGAAAAATAGGAAGACTACTAAATTTGTACTTTATCTGTACGAGCAGAAAACTTTTAGGCCAAGCAAACAGAAGTCTAACACAAATGATAAAACAGAGAGTCGCAGACTTTCAGTGTTCAGATTTGAACCAGTTTACAGAGCCAGAACCCCTTGAATGAAGCAAAGGGGAGGCTGGGTTTCCTCATTGAAGAACCCTGGAAAACGACCAAAAATAATAACTTATACAGTTAATCTTTCTTCCATCCTTCCCCAACACATACACGCACACATACACACACACACATATGCGCGCGCGCGCAATTTTTTTTCTTTTTTCTTTTTTTCTCTTTCTTCTTTTTCTTTTTCTTTTTTCCTCTGGAGAACCCTGACAAATACAACCATCAAACTATCAAATCCGAAGGCTGCAACTTCTGACTCTGCTTTCATCTCCTGTTCAATATTTGCACTCTGCTTCTCATATATAACTTATTTAAAA
The DNA here is from genome assembly GCF_000001405.40 of Homo sapiens. NCBI lineage: Eukaryota > Metazoa > Chordata > Mammalia > Primates > Hominidae > Homo > Homo sapiens. The sequence goes on from NC_000005.10 coordinate 25,265,495, forward strand.
TATTCCACGTACTATTCTGCCTCTCATTCATAGCCTTAGGATAGTTATTTGTTCAAAAGTTACATGTTCCTATTTCATAATCTTTGGTGTACTGTTTACAGAAGTGTTTTGCATAAGACGCAGTTAAAAAGAGTTTTTTTTCTCTGTAAGAAATGAATAAAAATGTAAAACACCTCCTGAAATAAATATTTACTATCTTAGCATAGTTTATCAATTACTACATCAAATATATGATATTGTTTTAAAGTTCAAAGATGTAGCAATTTTCTGAATAGATGCTCTCAAAATGAATTATTATTTGTTTCTCTCGGTGTTTTATTATTATTATGGTTGTAAAGTTATAAAACAAATTCAATTCTAAAGCAGAAAGTCAAGAAATAAAACAATGTTAAATGAATTATCATATTAGAGCACAATGCAAAGATGAAATATTTAAAAGCTTAAGATATTTTAATAACTATAAAATGTATTTAGATACATCTTAATAATAAATTGTATTACATAAATAATTGAATGCATCACAACTAAAGAGACTAAAATTAGGTGTATTTTAAATTAATAAAAAGATAGTGTGTGTGTATTTGTGTGTATTTTTGCAATATTATTATTAAGAGCTATTCAAAGTTTTCAAAGAGAAATTATAATTTATTTTCAATCATCAAAGATAAGTTAAAAATAGAAAAATATATTTACATGAAATATGTCTCCAATATTCCCATATAATTTTGTATTTTAACTTATCTTACATTTTATTTTTATATTTAAAACCCAATGTAATTTTAAATTTTTAAAACTTAAATTTTAGTGTTGATATACAGAAAATAAATTTCACGGTGACTATGAATACAGTATCTTTACTAAAATAAATAGCTATTAACAACTTACCAGTTATATTTTATTGTATAAAATTCACACAATAAAGTTTATAAAATGTAAATATGTTTCTAACACGATTAAAAATTCTCAGTGAAAACACCACACAGGTGGATAAAGAGAACACTGCCAGTGCCTCCCTCCCTTTAAGAATATCCTTCCTCCTATTCCAAAATAATTATTTAAATTTCAGTTAAATATTTTTAAATTTTAAAAATAACTTATGATTCTAAAAGCAATGGTCTTTTGTGAATTTTCCAACTTTTAAAAAATATAACCTGCCCTTATGACTTTTTTTTCTTTGTTTTTATCTTTTATTTTAAGTTCGGGGTACATGTGCAGGTTTGTTACCTAGGAAAATTTTTGTCATAAGGGTTTGTTGTAGAGATTATTTTATCACCCAGGTATTAAGCCTAGTACCTATTAGTTATTTTTCCTAATCCTCTTCCTCTTCCCACCCTTTACCCTCTGATAGGGCCTAGGGTGTGTTGTTCCCCTTTATGTGTCTGTGTGTTCTCGTCATTTAGTTTCCACTTATAAGCAAGAACATGCGATATTTGGTTTCAGTTCCTGCATTTTCACTAAGGATAATGGCCTACAGCTCCAAACATGTCCCTTGAAAGGACATGATCTCAATATTTTTTATGGCTGCATAGTGTTCCATGGTATACATGTACCACATTTTCTTTATTCAGTCTACCACTGATGGGCATTTAGCTTGATTCCATGTCTTTGCTACTGTGAATAGTGCTGCAATGAACATACCCATGCACATGTCTTTATAATGGAATGACTTATTTTTCTTTGAGTATATGCCCAGTAATGGGATTGCCGAGTCAAATGGTACTTCTGTCTTTAGGTCTTTCCGGAATCCTCACACTGTCTTCCACAATGGGTGAACTAATTCCAATTCCCATCAAAGGTGTATAAGCATTCCTTTTTCTCCACAACCCTATCAGCATGTTATTTTTTGACTTTTTAATAATAGCCATTCTGACCCGTGTGACATGGTATCTTATTGTGGTTTTGTTTCTCTTTTCTCTAATGATCAGTGATGTTGATTTTTTTTTTCATATGCTTAGTGGCTGCATGTATGTCTTCTTTTGAAAAGTGTCTGTTCATGCCCTTTGTCCATTTTTGATGGGTTGCTTGTTTTCTTCTTGTAAATTTATTGAAGTTCCTTATAGAGACTAGATATTCAACGTTTGTTGGGTGTATAGTGTGAAAAATTTTCTCCCATTCTGTAGATTGCCTGTTTACTCTGTTGATAGTTTTCTTTGCTCTGAAGAAGCTCTTTAGTTTAATTAGATTTCATCTGTCAATTTTTGCTTTTGTTGAAATTGCTTTTGGCATCTACATCAAGAAATCTTTACCCATGACTATGTTCTGAATGGTACTGCTTAGATTGTCTTCCAGGATTTTTTTTATAGTTTGGGGTTTTACATTTGAGTCTTTAACCATTTTGGGTTAATTTTTGTATATGGTGTAAGAAAGGGGTCCAGTTTCAATTTTCTACGTATGGCTAGCCAGTTATCCCAGCACCACGTATTGGATAGGGAATCCTTTCCCCATTGCTTGTTTTTGTCAAGTTTTTGGAAGATCAGGTAGTTGTAGGCATGTGGCCTTATTTCTGGGTTCTTTATTCTGTTCTATTGGTCTATGTGTCTGTTTTTGTACCAGTACCATGCTGTTTTGGTTATTGTAGCCCTTTTATATAGTTTGTAGTCAAGTATCATAATGTCTCCATTTTCATTCTTTTTGCTTAGGATTTCCTTAACTATTTGGGCTCTTTTTTATTCCATATACATTTTAAAATAGTTTTTACTACATCTGTGAAGAATATCAATGGCAGTTTAATAGACATAGCATGTAATTCATGAATTGTTTTTGGCAGTATGGCCATTTTAACAATATTTATTTTTTCTTATCCATAAGCATGGGATGCTTTTCTATTTGTTCGTGTCATCTCTGATTTCCTCGAGCAGTGGTTTGTAGTGTTGCTTGTAGAGATCTTTCACCTCTCTAGTTATCTGTGTTTGTAGGTATTTCATTCTTTTTTGTGACAAGTGTGAATGGGAGTTTATTCCTAATTTGACTCTTGGCTTGACTGTTTTTGGTGCATAGGGATGCTTGTGATATTTGCACAGTGATTTTTTTACCCTGAAACTTTGCTGAAATTGTTTATCAACTTAAGAAGCTTTTTAGCTGAGACTATGGGTATTTCTCGATATTGGATCATGTCATCTACAAACATGGATTGTTTTACTTCCTTTGTACATATGTGAATGCCTTTCTTTCTTTCTCTTGCCTGATTGCCTGAGCCACAACTTCCAATACTATGTTGAATAGAAGTGGAGAGAGAGGGCATCCTTGTCTTGTGCCAGTTTTAAGGGGAATTCTTCCAATTTTTGCCCATTCAATATGATGTTGGCTGTGGGCTTGTCATAGATGGCTCTTATTATTTTCATCTATGTTCCTTCAATATCTAATTTACTGAGAGTTTTTAACATGAATGGATGTTGAATTTTATTGAAAGCCTTTGTATCAATTGAGATCATTATGTGGTTTTTGTCTTTAATTCTGTTTCTGTGATGAATTATATTCATTGAATTGCTTATATTGAACTAACCTTGCATCCTGGGGATAAAGCCTCCTTGATAGTGCTGGATAAGTTTTTTGATGTGCTGCTGGATTTGGTTTACCAGTATTTTGTTGAGGATTTTACATTGATGGTTATCAAGAATATTGGCCTGAAGTTTTTATTTTATTGTTTTTGTATCTCTGCCAGATTTTGGTATCAGAATGATGCTGTCCATTGAATGAGTTAGGGAGGAGTTCCTCCTCAATTCTTTGGAATAGTTTCAGTAGGAATGGCACCAGCTCTTCTTTGTACATCTGGTAGAATTCAGCACTGAATCTGTCTGGTCTTGGGCTTTCTTTTTGTTCATGAGCTATTTATTATGGTCTCAAATTCAGGGCTCATTATAGCTCTGTTCAGGGATTCAGTTCCTTCTTGGTTTAGTCTTGAGAAGTTGTTTGTGTCCAGGAATTTTTCCATTTCTTTTGGGTTTTCTAGTTTATGTGCGTAGATGTGTTCATAATAGTCTCTGATGGCTATTTGTATTGCTGTTGGGTAAGCGGTAATATCCTCCTTGTAGTTTCTGATTAAATTTATGTGAATCTTCTCTCTTTTTTCTCAGTTAGTGGTCTATTTTATTAATTTTTTCAATTAAAAAAAACCCAGCTCCTGTATTCCTTGATCTTTTGAATGGTTTTGGTGTCTCCGGCTCTTTCATTTCAGCTCTGATTTTGGTTATTTCCTGTCTTCTGCTAGTTTTGTTATTTGTTTGCTTTTGTTTCTCTATTTCTTTTAGTTGTGATGTTAGATTGTTAACTCAAGATCTTTCTAAGTATTTGACATGGGCTGCAAATTTCCCTTTTAACACTGCCTGGACTTTGTCCCAGAGATTCTGATATCTATTTTATTCTAAAAATTTTGTTTAAGTTCCATCTACACAGATGCTTGCAACTTTATTTCCTTCATTTTTTCATTTTCCCAGCTCTGTAATTTTCCATTATATGAATAGATCACAACATATTTATCAATTATATTAGCATATATTTCTTTGACACTTTTTTCCTACCCGTGCTTTTTAAATTAACAACAGTGCTGTTACTGACATTTTGAGGTAATGTACATCCCCTGATAGATATAAAACTACTGATTTAAGAAAATACAACATAATAGTAGGTCAGGATATCTGGTAGGGACTGTCCCTTAACATGTTTTGTGTTTTCACCAGTGTCTTGGCTTTAATTTAATTCTTGCTCTTCCATAAAAAAAATAATATCCAGCCTCTTAATCTCTTCTAAAAGCCCTGTTGGAATTCTTTTTTACATGTATTTTAATGTCATCCAGGTAGAAATTCTGTTGTTCATGCTGTGAAGATTAGGGATGGATCTCAGGGAATCCTTTTTTCCTGCCATGTTGCTTAGGATAGGGTAGAGTATGTTCATTCCATCTTTGGATGACCTCTCCCAATTGCCACTCTAAGTTGTTTTACAGATGTCAACATTATCAACCATGTATGAAAGTTGCCACTGCTTCAATAATCCAAATTTAAAATGGTATCTCATGTAGATGAATTGGAATTTCCTTGACAACTGGTTAATAGCGAGTTGTCTGTGTTGTGGTTTTTCTAGAAAACGTCCGATCATAGGTTTTGCCCAAGTTTGCTCAAATTGTGATAGAATCATTTGCTTTTTAAAAATTTGTCTTGAATCACTGCATTTTATTTATTTTTGGAATTTTTAAATATAGTTTAGATATTCATCGCCTCCAAATCTCATGTTAAAATTTGATCCCCATTGTTAGAAGTAGGGCCTGCTGGGAGGAATATGGATCATGGGGGCAGATCACTCATGAATGATTTGGTGCTGTCTTTGTGGTATTGAGTGTGTTCTCACTCCAAGTTCCCATGAGATCCAGTTGTTAAAAGAATCAGGCATATCCCTCCTCTCTCTTGCTTCCTTTTTTTCACCCTGTGATACCTGCTCCCCTTCACCTTCTGCCGTGAGAGGAGGATCCCTGAAGCCCTCACCAAAAGCAGGTGGTGGTACCATGCTTCTTATACAGCCCATGGAACTATGGGTTCTTACACAGCCATGCTTCTTATACAGCCTATAGAACTATGAAACAAATAAACCTCTTTTCTGTATAAATTACCAAGCCTCAGGTGTTCTTTTTTAGAAACACAAATGGCTTAAGACAATTTGTAGCAATGTTTCTCTATGATTTCTCAGTTTACTTTGTTCAGAATATCACATGGTTACTTTGCTATTAAAACATTTAGTATTAATTTATTCACAATTTTGAACTTTTTCTTTGTAGTTTGCACTTTTCTGTCTTAAGAAAACCTTCCCTAATTATAGCTTTTCTTTTACATTTTTTCACATATTTCAAATTTTGTTCTTACATTTTGGAAGAACCTCTAATTTATTGCTGCATGTATTGTAAACTAGGAACCTACGTTTAAAAAAATCTGGATAACTGCTTGTCTATCAAAATTATTTACTTATCAGTTGAAATATCAATTCCACAAGTTATTATATTTTTATTGTGTAGTACAGTTTCTAATTTCATATTATTATTTTAATGCTAATCAATTTAATTACTATAATATTTCAGCAAGCCTTGATATATGTTCAGTTATTCATGCCCTCTTATAATTGGGAACGAAACTCACTAATTCTTTATAATTCATAAGTTAATATTTCACTTTATTCCTTCTTTTCCACTTAAGGGGGATTTGGGGAAAATAATATTAGCACAGGCAAAAGTGGCATACAATTATATTTAAATAGAAGTATACATATACAGGTTATTTTAAAATCTGCCTTTCAGTGAGATATAAACATCATCTTATATCATGAGATATAACTTTAAATCATAGCTTTAATGTGTAGTATAATATTAGAACATAGGCAATACTTTTAATGTCTTTTTTGAATATTAAAATTGTTAAACAAATTTTTATTTAAATATTGCTACAGTACTATCATTTAAAACTCTTGGCAGTAAAAATCACAATATTAATTAGGTGTATAAATAATTTGGATATTTTTCAGCACTGTTGTATTCTGTAAGTCAGCATTTTAAATATACATTATCACATGGACAAATTATTCCAAGAATGTCCTGATTCATCTCTACACTTGACACTTGACTCGCATCTAACTCATTCATATGTACATACATACACACGTATCACGCGTGTATATATAGAGATATAGACATAGATAGATATAGATATATGAGGTAATGTCACAGCTTTTCCTAAAACCTACATCTTGTTATTTTGTCTTTTTTAAAATCCAAACCCCATTTTCTGACTGCAAATACATATATTAGATGAAGTTTATATCTTACTGAGAAACAAATTTAAAATAACTATGTTATCTGATTCCTACTGTCCTCCTTGATCACTTCTCAGGTTCTCTGCCTTACTAACTACTATAGTTTTATTTTTCAGAAAATGTAATGCATCATTACGTATCTTCTTTAATCCCCATGTATTCAATGCTCATCCTCCAAAATTTCATGATTACTTCTTTCTTGTCATTCAAAGCTCAGCTCAAAATTTAAACATGAAAGTTACTTTGACCACTCTACTACATTAGGCACTCTCACAATTTTCTATGATGTTAGCCTCTCCCATGTTTACTAATAGCATTAATGTACATTTAAGTCATTTTGTTTAATATGTGCATATTATTTCCTGTCTCCAATAATAGAGTAAGCTCTTTGCTTATTTATTGATGTAGCTCTGTGTATAAATACCTAATATACACTCAATATTGAAAAACTATTTTGATGAATCAAAATATTATATTACCCAGCCCTAAAAATGTCAAGATAATTCTTCCTTCATGGTTCATGGTACCCTTTGCTGTATGGTAATAAAAATGAGTACAAAAGAAGCAAACAAACAAACTATATATAGTAGCATGCTGCTATAGTTTGAATGTTTGCGCTCCCTACAAAATTCATGTTGAAACTCAATCCCCAATGCAGCAGTATTAAGAGGCTGGTGTTTTAGAAGGTGATTAGGCCGTGAAGGGAGAGCCCTCATGGATGAAATTAGTGCCTTATTAAAGGGTTGGAGACAATTGGCTAGACCCTTTTGTCCTCCTTTCCTTCTGCCATGTAAGAACACAGCATTCAAGACAGAATCTTAAAAGCAGACATCAGCCCTCACCAGACCCAAAACCTACAAACACCTAGTTCTTGAACTTTCCAGGCTCTAGAACTGTGAGAAACAAATTTCCATTATTTGTAAATTACTCAGTCTCAGATATTTTATTATAACAGCAAAACCAGATTGGGAGGCATGCAAGATACCACTGGCAAATGACAGGTGGAAGTGATGTGATGTTGACTTGATAACCTCCCAGAACACTCTTCACTCTCATGTTGCCTTTAATGCTGCCCCTCTTCCTACACTGATGCAGAAGATGCAACATATGATAAATGACAAAAAAGGAAAATGTTGATAGATTTTGTATAGTAGGTAACACATATCCCTTAACTGAAAACAAGAACAGCATTAAGGTTCAAATAATAAGGAATGGACTTAGCTGTTAATATTGGAGATACATAGATATAGATTATTCAAAAAATGGGTAAGAATAAGTCATTTAAACTAGTCATTATTTCACTACCACGTCAATGAATACTTACTCATCACTGGCAATTCTTTCCTATGAAAGAGGAACAGATGCTGTGTGGAGATTGTATATTGATTGAGATCACTTAAGTTGAGTAAAGAGAAGAAAGGTGGTCTAACAATTAAAAATTATTCTAAAATGAATTTCATAAAAAAGTATCAAGTATTTTAAACAAATACAAAAATTTAAATTATGATACAAATTTCAAATACATATGCTGCCTTACAGTATATCTATAATATGTGTTATCCATTCACAGTTACATGCACATAACTACATATATATAAGCACACTATATATATGCATAAGTACATATATAATTCATCAATGGATAATCTCTAGTACTATAAACCAAATCCACATCCATATTGATTACTATATAGTTTCACAGGAGAGGAAAAACTACTTAGAACAATAAATGAAAATATTAGCATAGACTCTTCCCTGTATTGTGAGTTAATGGAGAATGACTTTTAAAGATTCATAGACTTGTACTTGTGCACTTTCTATATTTTTATTAATTTGTATTAGTTTTAAAAATACTTTTTATGTAAAATTAGAAAAGATGTTTAATGTAAAATAACATGAAATATAATCCTAAGCCTTAATACTTTTGTTTATTTCAGCATGTGTATTGCATTGACAAATTTTGCCAAAATAACAAATTGTTATGTATAGTAAGCTTTGTAAGCTGAGGGAGATGTTTGTAAAATGTCATTTGATTTTTATTGAATAGAAATAAAAATCCAGCACAGCTAAACTAAATATCCACACTGACCCTGAATAATGAGACTGATTTAGATTTATCTAATATATTTTATATCATAAATTGTCACAGATTCTGGTTAGGGAGTTTATTTATGTGAGCAACGGTTTTATTTAAATCAATTACTGACCTTATGACACCAACCAGCTTGATAATACAGCCAAAAAGAAAGATAAAAATTTTTTACCCTTAGATTGATTCATCAAGGGAGATATAGTGGAAATATAATCACACAAATCATCATCATCATGATACCTGTGATAAAGAGACATCATAGTTGCTATATGAGGGGAAGAGGGAAATGAGGAGCAAACCCACTATTTGGATGTGATATTTAATCTAGGACCTGAACCCTGTTAATAAATTAAATGTTAATATATGGCTTCTAATAATTGCCACTTCAAAATACATAGATGAGGATGAAATATAAACAAATACAGACAGATCTATAGATATATATGGAATTCACTGTAAATGTATACTATTTTTTTAAATTGCCAATGTGTATCTTATTTTTTAGTTAAAACGGTACAGAAAAATTGTACTGTTTCTCCATATACTTTGTGCCTTAACTGATATACGATGACTATAAATAGAAAAGTAGGATATGGAATAAATTACATGTTTTTGTTTGTGTTTCTGGTCTACAATAGCAAATCTAGAAATTCATACTATGTTTATTCATATATATGTACATATATACACATGTGCAATTGAGAAATCAACTAAGCTATGCAAAATATATTCAAAATTATAAATTCTTACCTAATATAATAAGTGAAAGCTTTTCTAATAAATAATACTAGGTTAGAAATATATAATATCTATTTAATAAGTCACTAGAAAGTCAATAATTTAGTCTCATATTTGACTATTTTAAGAAAATATATATTTACAGATTAATATTAATTAATACAACTGCATTTAAACAATTAAGCTTCTGGCCGGGCGCGGTGGCTCACGCCTGTAATCCCAGCACTTTGGGAGGCCGAGGCGGGTGGATCATGAGGTCAAGAGATCGAGACCATCCTGGCTAACAAGGTGAAACCCCGTCTCTACTAAAAATACAAAAAATTAGCCGGGCGCGGTGGCGGGCGCCTGTAGTCCCAGCTACTCGGGAGGCTGAGGCAGGAGAATGGCGTGAACCCGGGAAGCGGAGCTTGCAGTGAGCCGAGATTGCGCCACTGCAGTCCGCAGTCCGGCCTGGGCGACAGAGCGAGACTCCGTCTCAAAAAAAAAAAAAAAAAAAAAAAACAATTAAGCTTCTTAATTTCTCCCAAATAGTGAATAATGAAATGAACTATTCTTTTATTGCACAGATCCTTTGCTTTTCTACCTTGAAAATACTACATTGCACACTTTATTAGGTAAAAACAAAGGTTGCATTTCAGAGAAGATACATTCACAAGGACATACACAGGGCATCTCCTTAGTATGCCTCACTGCAAGGCACCTGTATCTCAAAAACAATACCTAAATCGAAAATTACTGTGCATTAAGAAAACATACACTTTTAGTCACTCTAAAATCACTGTACCCTCTAGATGATAGCAATTTTCAAGATTCTTTTTGTTGCATTTCTCAACCTGTTCCTTGTAAATGTAATCATCAAAATAACAAGCATCTCTTCTCCTTATTTGCAGCATGCGGTCTAAAACCTTTAAAAACTAAAACAAAATGCTAGGAAGCTTGAACTCCATCCAGTTTATGGACTAGGTTGCGTGAACACAAAACTGTTCTAGCAGTTCTAGCTTCCTGGTGTTTTGTTATTTTAAAAATAATGGTATTGTTGGTATTGAATATTGAATAAATAACTGATGTGTGAAAACATTTGGTCTGAACTTTGACATAACCTAGTATTGAAGTGGTGGAGGAATCATTAACTCCCACTTTGTCTTATAATGGATTTCTAACTATTTCAAAAAAAATAAATTAACTGTTTATATCCTCATTAGCTATAGAAATTTGCAAAACTATCTTCCTTCCCATGGAACTGGCCCCCTGTCTTTTGCCCCCTATAGCCATGGATAAGATGAAGTGGGCAGTAGCATCCTCCCAGAGCTGAAAAGCACTACCTAAAGAGAGAGTCAGGGAGCTTGAGGAGATCCTTGTATGCTGAGTGTCTCAGGCTTGTAATGATAGTTTGGATTGCTTTGGATACCTGTCCCATCAACCCAGGGGAATTTTTCTCTTAGACCTTTCAGAAACTCCCTCAAAATAACAGCTTCCATCTTGGACACTGAAAAACAATGAGATTAATCAGCAACTTGATCAATATGGGTGGCTTCTTAATTAAATTTTCCAGTTTTAGGAAGTTTTTTTTCCATTTCTAAAATACGTTCTTAATGTATGTGTCATAAAAATGTACTTTGCTCTTAAGTTTTATGTTAGTATTTAAATATAACTTTAAAAATTAATTTATAACTTTTTTACATGCCTGAGTAGTTTCATAAAAGAATATTTTTTAAAATTTACCAAATATTATGCATTCTGTGTGTAATTTTTTGGGTGTATGCTTACTTATTTAAGAATTACTCTATTTGATAAAATAAAAATTACCCATGATTACTTCTGTGTTTTTAATCTGGAACTTAAAATATAGTGATGACATATTTTACAGTCAATTGGATGTGCTTTTATATATACTATAACTATTTTATGGAAGAAATGTTAAATGAGTGTTCATAAAAAGTACGTACCCTACCTATTTACATATAGAATAAAAGTGATACACTATGATATTCTTTCAAATAATTTTGTCCCTGATGATATATAGCAGATGCACCTAGAGTAAAAGATGAGACCTCACATGAAGTCAAAATGGTGATCAGTTTTGACATACTTTTTTAGGGACAGATGATACTAGGGCAAGCTTAAATTTCTCTTTGTTTTGCATACTATATAAAAAATCTGTAATTTAAAGAATTTAACACAGAGGTTCATCTCAGTGAATAATTAAACATTCTGTTAGGTCATCATTTGATTCTGAACATATCTTAATAAGGAAAATTGGTAATTTGTCACAAATATTATGGCACAATAGATTTTGTTTTCATAATAATGATTAATTAGAGGAGGGTTGTTTTTGGTGAAATAGTATGTAATTCAAGAACAAATACTTATGTTAATCAGAAAAGAATATTACGTCTGTGTATACAATATGTGAGGAAAGAGCCAAAGTAATAGAGTTAGAAAACCTGTGGTTTTTAGATATGACTTACGCTAATGTGCACTGAGATTTAGGTGTGACAATGATGTTGAGAATAATTACAAATTAATATCTAATTTTATCAATTCATCACATATACATTGTTTATATATGTATATGTATTTATGTATCTATATATGTTTATCTATATCTATCTATCTTCATGGTAGTACATTATACATGTATATACATATATATTATTTTTAATATAACATATATGTATATATGTATATGTATACATATAATATGTAAATAATACGTATACATATACATATAATATATAAGTAATATGTATATACATATACATTATTTTTATATAACATATATTTATATAATGTATAATATAATATACATATATTATATAATATATGTATACATATATTATATATACATATATATTATACATATATAATATAACATATGTATAAATATATACACATATACATACATATATGTATATGTGTACATACATGTATATGCATATACATATGTATATGTATATATGTATATGTGTACATATATGTATATGCATATATATACACATATACATACATATATTCTTAATATAATGTATATGTATATACGTATACACATATATGTGTATACGTATATACATATACATTATTCTTAATATAATATACATATACATTATTCTTAAATAATGTACTACCACAAACATAGATAATTTGTAAACATACAAGTAAATATATAACAATGATGACTTTGTAAATATTTTATATGGAAAAGAAACTAAACAGAAGGTATCAGGTAACAGAAGGTATCCTGTTGCTTTGCCCTGCTGTAGTTTTCTTATAATGCATGCCTTTTTCAAATTATTTCATATGGTCTATTTCACAAATGGTTATTTTTTGCAAACATACTGATGGTGTGCGTTTCATTTTCCCTATGAGAGAAATGAATATTATTAGGCAATAAACACATATTTAAAATGCTCACAGATTCCATTCATTTTATTCTTGGACAAATAGAATAATGAGGGCAAGTACTTCCATGTCAATTATAGATCGTTTCATATACTGGTTGTGCTATCCACAAATCATTTTATTTTTTCACTTATTTCATACTTTTTCCAAATTATCACTTCACTTCACTTTTAATACTTTTGTTAGCTAATTTTATCCTTGAATAATCTAGCCAATCGATGTTCCTTAAACCTGCAATATAGAATTAAAAATATATTAATTTATAATCAAAGAGAATAATTATATATACATACGTGATGGATATGTGTATCAATTATGTGCAAAACAAACCACTTCAACATTTAGTGGCTTTTATGCAACAATGATTTAAAATTTTTAAGAGTTATGGATGGATAGGCAGTTCTGTTCTGGGACAACTCTGAGTTAATTATCTAAGATAGCTATGGTGCATGTCTTAGACATTAGTTGGGTTTCGTGGAATAACACCGATTGCTATACCTCTGTCTCCATGCAGACCTTCATGTTCTCTTTTCAAGTGATACTTTATCCTCTTTTTTTTTTTAAGATGGAGTCTCGCTCTGTCTCCCGGGCTGGAGTGCAGTGGTGGGATCTTGGCTCACTGCAAGCTCCTCCTCCTGGGTTCACGCCATTCTCCTGCCTCAGCCTCCAGAGTAGCTGGGACTATACAGGTGCCCACCACCACGCCCGGCTAATTTTTTGTATTTTTAGTAGAGACAGGGTTTCACCGTGTTAGTCAGGATGGTCTCGATCTCCTGGCCTCGTGATCCACCTGCCTCAGCCTCCCAAAGTGCTGGGATTACAGGTGTGATCCACCGCGCCCGGGCTTTATCTTCATTTTTTGACATGTCTTCAAGCATCTCACTGAGCAAATAAAAGCTGCATGACCAACTTCCAATTCAAGAAGCAAGGAGAGAGATTCTTGTCTTGACAGAGGGGATGCTGAAATTACATTTAAAGTGGATATGCATGCAAGCATGGGAGGAATTTTGGGCATTTTTTTCAATTTATCAACAGGTCCCTGGCCAGTGATTAGTTACATTCCTCACTCTAGTGGATAATATGATCTGTACCTTAGATCATTCTTTAATGACAAAAGCAATCTTTCCCCTGGCTGCAGGAGAGTTTAATTCAAAAAGTTCAAAAGTTAACACCTTCCTAGGAATTGTCTTCATACTAAGAGAGTGCCTCTGCTAATACATCTTTCAGTGAAGGTTGCATAAGTAATCTATGGATGCTAGGCATAAAGGCTTGGCCTCATTGTCACAGCCTGGGTCAACTTCGAAGGTTTACCTCTCTTCATTTAAGTTTAAATTTTCTCTGCCTAAAGAGGTTTCTATTAGGCCACCAAAGACCTGTTTCTAAGAGCATTTACTAATAAACAACACGCAAGCAACTTCCTCAGAGTATGTTTTGTAGAACTCAATCTAAGCCACTAACCCATAAAAACATGTTCATCTTTATTTCATGAACCACCGAATTCTTTTTCAGTTTGGACACTGGGTTTACAATTCATTATTTCACCAGCTGCATTAGGTCCAGATACAGATGAAGTTCATTGGCTGTAAGTCCTTAAGAGCATTGTTTCTTATTCCAAAGAAATGAATGAGAAAGACAAGTTATTTACCCCCCATAGATCCAACATTCAAAGTGAAGCAAAAAGAAAATAATCAACATGGATGCTTGTGTTCAAAATAGGAGAATATGAAGCAATTACAAATTCAAGGTGGATATTTAATCTGTTTCCTGGAAATTGTTTCCCAGTTCATTGATCTCTTTGGTTTTTGACTTTACCCTTTGATGAAACTTTCACTCTGTCCACTGTAATGACCTGTGCTTTTTATACAAATGGACCGTGATTGAAGTTACTAACAGTCAATGCAACTTTATCAGTTGGATCCCATTTTGCAATTGAAACAATCTCTATGATTTAATCCAAGTCATTGCTACATCCACCTATACAACTCTCTGAAATAAACAGTGAGTTTTCTGTCAACCTTGAATACACTCCGTTTCAAAAGACACATCCAAAAAAATGTTATAAAACTGAGTTCTGTCTAGCTTAGACCACATGGCTAATTGTTATAGGGCAATCCCTTTAAAAGTCTTAAAAAGGTGTCTAATTGTTATACGACAATCCCTTTAAAAGTCTTAAAAGATATCTAAAATCTTGTCATTTTTCTAGCCTTTTCTAACAGATTTCTTGTCATTTTTCCGCGGTGCATCTAGCGCATCTGGTGCCTGGTATCAAAACCAAACACATAATTTATGCTTTTGTTACGGCGGAATTCCCAGTTGTAGACATCAATTTATGTATTGGTTCATATTTGCTGTGAAATAAGTGACTTGAAAATACATTGGCCTAAAACAGCACTTCATAGTATTTCTCAAGAAACTTACAGTTATCTGAGCAGTTCTTTCCATCTAGACATATGCCGACAACATAGCATTGGTTCACTTATATGTCTGGAACCTCAGATAAGATGCCTGTGAATGGCTAAGTCTTATTCTTCATATGATTGCCTAGAAGAAAGTTCCAGAAATGACAAGTTATAGTGCAAAAGCGTGTTTCAAGCCTTCACTTTTGTCATATCTGCTAATGGTTCATTGCCCTATGCAAATTACATGGCAAATCCCAGAATCAAGTGGTGGAGAGATAGATTCCACCTTCCGAAGAAAGAAGCAGCAGCAAGTTCACATTCTAACCTTTTAGGTATGTAGGAATGGGAGGAACTTTTGGCCACCTTTTATATCTACCAAATATGGTTTAGGAAAAAAAGATTTTCCCCTCAGTAATATTAAATTCTATATTCCTAATAACAGTGTATCTATTTATCAGAAGTTATCTTCTCTTTGCTTACAAGCGGGAAATATCATGCGCTTCTCATGCACTCTTTATTTTAGGGGCTAGAGTCATATTCTGCATGAGCAAAATTTAATTCATGATTTAATTTCAAATCTCCCCTCATATTGTATGCCTTATTTCTTTTAATGGCTTCACAACCCTTCAAGGTATTTAGGCTTGAAGCCTTCAAGCTATCATCGTGTACTGCATTTTAATTCGAATAATCAGTTCCTAGATAATGCTGATTCTAGCTCTGTAATATTCCTTTCATTACTCCTTTTCTTCATATTCCCAATGCAGATGCTATTCTTCAGGACCTTATTAGCTCAATACCAGAACTGACAGAACACTGGCTATTCTTAAATCTCTCCTTGAGAAAATGCTATCAAAATCTTTCTAAAGGAACAATATTCAAAGACCTGGGAAAATATCTAAAGACACATTTAACAACTCAGCAAATTTTTTACTACTTCACGCTGATATTAAAGGTCGCTAAAGACCCGACACAACCTTTTTTTTTTTTTTTTTTTTTGCTTTAGATGTTTTGGCTAAATATATCATGGTGATTGCCTATACTTTCCCTGGGCTTGTACATAATTTGTTCCATTTCCGTTTCAGTCCTCAACAAACAAATCAAATAAAAATTTCTGGAAATTGACCTTTTCAAATTTTAAAAATCCCATTATATTCCCACCACCATCATAACCACTATCACAAACAGATGGAAATTACTTCTCCCTCCGAACTTAAAGAGCTATTTAGGACCTTTCTTGCAGCATTAGAATTCTCAAGCTAATAATAAAAATATGTGTTTACTTGTTTGGTTGTTCTTTGAGGACAGAAATGATGTCTACATCTTTTACATATTCAAAAATATCTTGTGCAGTGCCTTTAAAGATGAACTTAACAAATAATGGTGGAACAGAATTCTTTTATATATGGAACATTAGGTTTTGAAATAAATGTAATGAACTTCATAAAGTAATAAAATAATTTTATGTTTAATTTATACTACATTTTTCTAAGTATACTCTCTTAGTACTCCTTTCCTCAACTATATTAGTATACTTATAAGCAACTATAAGCTCTAAACATTCTTATCCCCTCAATCTATTCTGTCTTCTTTCAAGTAATGGCTTCCACACAACCTTATTCAAACACCTTCAAAATCATTTTTCAAATTATGTAAAATCTCTAAACATGACGTTAAACACACTTTTTGATTAATGCCAAACTAACTATAGGCTATATAATTAGCTCTTTCACATTCTCTACATACCTACCATGGAAACATTACATTTCTTTTTGTCTTATTCCTTGTATGACATATTTCCTATGCCCTTTGAAATGTGGCATTGTTATAGAAATGTACATGGTGCATATCATTTTCAAATGTAAAAATATAATAGGATCATGGCTCTTTTGTGACCCATCATTATATTTTATGTCTTAAGTACATGATTTCTGTGTCAACAGCATTAAAATAATGGTTCATATTGTGTTCAGATTCTTTAGGTATTCAAGTATTTCAACATGGAATTCTGTAAATCTAGACTTTGAAATTTGAGCTAAACTGAACTTTTTTATATTATATAAGAAACTTAAATTTATATTTAATATCAGCTTATTGATTCTGGGCTATTATTACTTTGCTTAAAAATACCTATGAATGCTGCTTTTTTCATATACTGCTCTCATCTTGTACTATCAACAAATATGGACAGTGCAATTCTATATTATATAAAATTCTTTTATTAAAATATGTATGGCAGAAAAAAGAATAGAATCTTTGAGATGATAAAAAAACAAACAAAAAATCACCATAGTAGAGTCAGTTGCTTTATAATATTTGCCCAATATTCTTATATTTTATTAAGTAATTACCCCACATAGGTTTTGGAAAATTCTCAGGACATCCTTCTTAAGTTTTAACTTCTACCCCACTGTGTCTGTCTCTTTTATCTTTATCTGAGACTCTGATTACATGTATATCAATCCATTTACTCTGTGTCATATATCTTTCATACTACTTTTTTATTTTTTATTTTCCATCCATGGAAATTTTTACTCATCTGGCTTCTAGTACAGGAATCCTCTTATGTTGTGATCAATCTCATGCCCAAATAATCTATTGTGTTTTTAATAGCCATTACTTCCTTTCCAGTTCTAGTATTTGTATTTGGTTCTTTATTATTTCTATTCTATGGTAAAATTTTTTATTCATCCTTTACATTGGAGAACATAGTATTCCCATTTATTTTTAAATACACATGTGATAACTCTAGTATATTATACATCTTGGATTCTGTTTCTAGTATCCACTTTTTTCTTTTTCTTTTTCTTTTGTTCTTCTTTATTGTATGCCTAGACATTAATGTTGTAATGGTTACTGTATGAGTCAGGGATCTCCCAAGCAACAGAGCCAATAAGATATCTATCTATCTATGGAGGCAGAGGAGGGGAGAGAGAGAGAGAGAGAGGGAGGGAGAAGAGAGAGAGAAAGGGAGGGGAGAGACAGAGACAAATTTTGATAAATTCATTCACACAATTGTGAGAACTCACAAGTATGAAATCTGTAAGATAGGCCCGTAGGCTGGAAATTCAAATAAGAGTTGATGTTTCAGTCTCTAACTAAAAGAGTTCCTTCTCCGGGAAACGTCCGTGCTTGCTCTTATGGCATCAGATGAATGAATAAAATCTACCCACATTATTGCAAGTCATTTTCTTAAAGTCAACTAATTGTAAATGTTAATCACATCTAAAAATACATTCACAGCAACATGTAGTTGACTAGTATTTGACCAAACAACTGGGCACCATAGTATAGCCAAGTTGGCAGAGAAAATTAATCCTCACCGTTATGCATAAAAAATATAAAATATTTCAATGATGCTTTATAATTTTGCAGAGAGAGAGAACATTATTTTCTGATAGGAATGAAAAATGAGAATAGACCACATTAATACTGACGTAAGCCATGATAGTAATCTTTGAGTGATTCTTTGGTACTCTCTAGTTTGATTTTCTGGTACGTTTACCCCTGTGATGTATAGAAATAGAAGATATTAATATCTGTTGTATAATTGAGTTTCTTCTTTTCGGCAAGTACTGAATTCAAATTTTTTTTTCCCAGCAATTTTGTTTCCATTTGGTCTAAATTACCAAAAAAGGCCTAGTCTCCTTTTTTAGATTCTTTCTTCTTGACTTTCAACATCTTTTCCACTACAGTATAATATATTGGCAAACGCTCAAGAAGAAAATGGACTAATTCTCCTGCTCATATCTTTGTACCTTTGTTTTCTTTGCGACCTTGGCCCCCAATATTTTTTTTTACCTTGGTAGTCACAAATACCAAAATTGCGTTTTCTCATTCCAGTGAAGATTAATGAAATCTCCTCTGACTTCTTGACTTCTGGATATCTCAGCTTTCTCACTCTGTATGAAGAAGAGTGAAATCCTAAGAGGAGGATAAAAACAGTGGTGAAACAGAATATTGAGAATATTGACTCATTCTTACTATGTTCCTTTCTATCTTAGGTACTGGATCATAAGGACTTCATTGCCACAGGAGCATTCTAAGGGGCTTATTCTTCAGTGACATTATTGTTTTCATTGTTCTCATTATTTTGTCTAGCTATTCTACCCATTCTGGATAGGACTTTTGGCTTATCAAAATTACTTCATTATAGCAGAAATTGAAAATCTGTGTGAGTTTTTTGCCACTCCGATCAAAGTCAGAGACTACTTCAAGAAGAAGCAAATGGTAAATAGTTCCAATTGAAGCTGAAATGTTAAGCTGACTAAAGAATATCCATTAAAAAGTGTCACGGAGGTCATGGTCTTTAACAAAAACTGATAATGAATGTGGAATGCTGTGGGACAAAGCCATGTTAAAGTATGTTATTGAATATTAAACATTAACTCTGATAATGTTTGGAATGCATTATGCATTCCAGTGACTAAATGAAAGCACGTGCAGAGAATGAAGTTGGCTATTGTGGGCATAAGTACGTAAGTAGTTTCTTTGCCTTCCTCCTCTTCACTAATTTCCCCCTAGGGCTTGATGAGTGATTAAATCTAATAATTGAGTTTGGAAGAGAAAATAAACATGAGCTAACCAATACACAATGCATTGCAGCTGACTATAGTAATTGAAAAGCTACATTGACTCTACATGCATCCCGATTTTGGATAACTGAAAATGTAAAGTGATGTGGGTCTTTGAATCAATAAAGTAAAGTTTTATAGACCACTTTCCTCAGTGTGAGCTGCATCATGAATTAAGGTCTTATTTAGTCTTCTATTCTGCTTACTCTTTGGTCTTCTCAATTGGTTCAGAATTGAATAACGACAAGTGCTGCTATTTATTTCTCCTCCTTCAAATCTCAATAACTACATTGGGGTTATATTCTGTCAACTCAGAATAGCTAAAAAGAATACGGCATCATTTTATGCTGAGAGCCAAAAAATGCTAAGAGCCAATAAGATCAGATTTGACTGTAGAAGTTTCTTCTGTCTTAGAGTGAGTGAAAAAAAACTTTTTTTAAAAAAGCATAGCATATCCACTATTCCCATTGGTATAATTGTCCCTTGATCTAAATGTGCTACATTCATTTTTGAGATACAGTGAACTATGCTAAATTAACTTGGTTAGGAGTTATAGAAGGAAAGCAGTAGGCTGTATATTGCTTAAGACTTTGTTCATAAAGCATGAAAACTATATGAAATTCTAAAACATGACAATCTAAAATACTCACATAGGTTACAGACAATTGTTATTTTGTGATTCAGAGTTACAAAATTTAGCAAAACCATTAGTTTATAAATCCCAGAATTCAAGCAGCCTAACATGTTTTGGGCATGGCACATATTTTACAGACAGTGTTTTATCATTTTGCCCAAGAAACCACTTGCAGCTATCACATTACTCCAGGACCTGCTCTCCTTTTTAAAGAATTCACATTTAGCCGACTTTACCCTGACACCATATTATTTCTACCTCAGGGATACATTGCTCAGATTCTATGAATGCTTTCTATAAATTTTCCCTATAATAGCAATATTGTCTAAATAACAACAAATGCCAAAAGCACTTTGTAGCTCAGGTTCAGTGTTGTTTGGCTAGGTTCCTCAGGCTGTTGACACCACTCTACTGTAATCTATTCAGCCAGAATGATCTTTTTGAATTTACAACCCATCAAGGGACATGAATCATACTAAACTCCGGCATATGCCACATTTCTAAATGTGCTAGTCCTTGATGTTTTCATGACTCTAAAGCAGTCAGCACTTACCAGCATCGTGGTTTTGCCTAAATCTTTCTCTCTGAAAATATTGATTTAGTTTGAATATCTGCCAAGCTCTCTTTTCTCTCTCATTCATCATCTTCTTGGAGTCTCTACCCACATAGTATACAGAAAGATGTCTTCAGTTATAAAAATGGCACAGAATTAAAAAGAATAAATAATAAGGCAAATTATCTAAATATGTGTTTGTTCAGTATATATTCAATAATTTTTGTGCCTTATATAATTACTTGCATATAGTAATTGTTTGCTAAATATTTATAGAATAAATTATTAAACAGTCCATCCTTAATAAAATATAACAGTGTTTTGCCTATTGGTCATGAGAATATGTGGGAAGGAGATCAAGAAATTGCTAGATGATGAAGGCAAGAAAGGAAAAATACATTATAATGTGTATTTTCTCTAAAACTTACACATTAGAAAATATACTTTAAACTCTATATTTTTGCATCCGGACTTTGGTTTCTGTTCTGTGTTTCCATGCATTTAAGCACTGATTTTGAGAAGTTTATGGAATAAATTTGAAAACTTGTTTCTTATCTTAACTACAATTTTATCCTTGATTTTTACATATCATTTATATTTGAAATATGATTTATGTTTATGAAATATCCATGACAGCAACAAGTTATCTTTGCTAAGTAAGTTAATTGGGTTAACTGTAAATTCACAGAAAAAAACACACTATAAATATGAATGTTTTTTGAAAAATTGTTTTCAATTCTCACTATACTCAAATGTAAACCTCACACTTTTTAATGGACATTCTCGCAGAAAAAGTAGGAGTAGCAGGATATTCATTTGACATCAGATTTTAATTAATGCGAAAGAACATTAGACCCTGAAGCACCAATAAAATTATCCTGATAAAAGACGAGAAGGTGATCAGATGATTTACTATATATGATCTCGGGCGGAAGAGTTTGATGAATCAAGAGCTTTTTTTTGTTTAACCTACTTTGAGTTTCCCCTAGAGTTGTGTTAGTACCTCTGATGAAAATTAGAAAAATTGAAGAATTAACCTAAATCTAAAAATCCAGCACAAAAATTTAGCAGTTCAGGAGAGACTCAAGTATGCATAGGTCCAAAGATCATTAACTCTGAAACAGAATTTTTTAAAAATTTTTCATTTGGCATGGATAGCACTTCCGTTTCACCTTCTGGGATAACGGTGACCAACAAAGGATGCTTTGCCTCTTAGTACTGAGTGTTTTATCTTCCATCAGAGATCAAATTTTGTTCCACTCTTTGAATTAATTAAGAAAAAGTATTGCTAGTTTATAATTCACAAGGCACTATTGATTCCTAGGTAAGAGTATTTTGTTGCTCTAAAACCAATAATTGTTCATTATTTCAGTTTTTTTTTATTTAAGGAATTTTACTTGCATTGGGTCCGTGAATGCTTGTCACCAGATCTGTTGCTTGGACACCTAGTTTGCTTCTGATCCCTTGCATCAGTAATAACTCAGGCTTTCTAAGCCAATGGGTAACTAAATTGAATTTGTTTTTGTCTCTGAATAAATAAGTATAGTATTTTATACTTTCTCCTCATTTATTGCTCTTTTATTCTTGCTTTCAATGTATACTAATGTAATTATGTTTTTCAAAATCTTAAATTTTCTCCTCAAATATAACAAATGGGTCTGTGAAACTCCATAGTGCTGGGAAACTAAATATAATGAACGAATTAAATGTCATAAAGATAATCATTAGATGCAGTTTCATGAAAAAAGTAACTTCAATTCCAAAATATTTTTGCTATTAAACTCATTACTGGATTTGAATCTAATACATGATATAAAATACTCTGTTGAGTGGCATCCTTGGCTGAACAGTAATGCATATTTAATTTTCAAATACAGAAGAATACATTCTAAAAAGATTATTCTAATTTTCACATCTACATGCAGTGCATGAGAATGTTTTTTAATGCTAGTCTATTATTAAATGTTCTCAATAAATTGACTTTTATAAATCAAAACAAAAGCAGTATAACAATATATTAATTTGAATATGGGTAATCATCAGTGACTAACAATATTTTTGGACTCCTGTCTTTATCTTCTGTCATTACTTGTTCATATACTATTTTTATTAATTTGTAGAAATTATTTTTACTTCAGGAATGCCCATCTCTTATTATAATTATTTGAGACATTTTCTCTCAATCTCATATTTGTACATACTTATAATGTCTTCAAATATACACAAACACATAAAAATGTATATTGTAAAATCTGTCCATTTTTGTTTTCACATCTGGATTGTTTTATCGATTCAAACTTTTTTCCAAACAACTCACTGTAAATATACTTGTATGTATTCTCAATTGCATCTTTAAATATCCTCAAGAAATATCTTCAGGATAATTTCTCCCTTGTTACTCTTTTTTTTTTCAGTGTTTCCTAGGAAATTCTTGAAACTGCACATAAGTAATGCATACAATTTGGGGAGTTTGGACATATGTATACATTTGCATTACTGTCACCATATTCTAGATGGTAAACTTGTTCAGTACTGAGTGTATTCTTGTGCTCCTTTGCTTTATGTTTGCATGTGTGTGTGTGTGTGTGTGTGTGCCTGTGTGTTAAAAGTTTTTAACATGAGATGTATCTTCTTAAATCCTACAATACTTAACTAGAAGCGCTTCCATCAGAGTGAACAGGCAACCTACAGAATGGGAGAAAATTTTGGCAATCTACCCATCTGACAAAGGGCTAATATCAAGAATCTACAAAGAACTTAAACCAATTTACAAGAAAAACCCCACCAAAAAGTGGACAAAGGATATGAACAGACACTTCTCAAAAGAAGACATTTATGCAGCCAACAGACACATGAAAAAATGCTCATCATCACTGGCCATCAGAGAAATGCAAATCAAAACCACAATGAGATACCATCTCACACCAGTTAGAATGGCGATCATTAAAAAGTCAGGAAACAACAAGTGCTGGAGAGGATGTGGAGAAATAGGAACACTTTTACACTGTTGGTGGGACTGTAAACTAGTTCAACCATTGTGGAAGACAGTGTGGCGATTCCTCAAGGATCTAGAACTAGAAATACCATTTGACCCAGCCATCTCATTACTTATTTATATACCCGAAGGATTATAAATCATGCTGCTCTAAAGACACATGCACACATGTTTATTGTGGCACTATGCACAATATCAAAGACTTGGAACCAACCCAAATGTCCATCAATGATAGACTGGATTAAGAAAATGTGGCACATATACACCATGGAATACTATGCAGCCATGAAAAAGGATGAGTTCATGTCCTTTGAAGGGACATGGATGAAGCTGGAAACCAACATCTGAGCAAACTATCACAAGGACAGAAAACCAAACACCGCATGTTCTCACTCATAGGTGGGAATTGAACAATGAGAACATCTGGACACAGGGTGGGGAACATCACACACCAGGGCCTGATGTGGAGTGGGAGTGGGGGAAGGGGGGAGGGATAGCATTAGGAGAAACACCTAATGTAAATGACGAGTTAATGGGTGCAGCACACCAACATGGCAGATGTATACATATGTAACAAACCTACACGTTGTGCACATGAACCCTAGAATTTAGAGTATAATAAGAATATTTAAAAAATAGGTAAAGGACATAATGGACATTTCTCAAAAGAAAACATGCAAGTGGCCAAAGAAGATATAAAAATGTTCCACATCAGTAATCATCAGAGAAATGCAAGTCAAAATCGGAATGAGATGCCATCTCACACCAGTAAGAATGGTTGTTATTAAAAGTTACAAAACAACAGATGCTGGTGAGGCTGCAGAGGAAAAGGGGAACAATTATGCACTTTTGGTGGGAATGTAAGTTAGTTAAACTACTGTAGAAAGCAGTTTGGATATTTCTCAAAGACCTTAAAACAGAGCTACCATTCAATCCAGTAATCCCATTATTGGGCATCTACCGTATACCCCAAGGATAACAGATCATTCTACCAAAAGATACATGCACTCATATGTTCATCACCACACTATTAAAAATAGCTTAGGATTGTGATGTCATATCTGCTGAACAAAACACACATCTCCTTCTTTCTCCATTCTCAAGTAACTACCATTCAATTGCCAACTTCTATACATTTGACAATTTTATATGCTTCATATAAGAAGAATAATGCAGGATTTGTCCATCTGTGACTGGATTATTTCATGTAACATAACATCTGCTAAGTCCATCTATGTTGTTGCAAAGAGCACCATTTCTTTTATTTTTAAGGCTGAATAATATTCCATTTTATATGTATACCAAATTTTCTTTCACCTTTTGATATGCATTTGGGACATTTCCATATCCTGAATATTATTGAGAATAATGCTTCACTGAACATAGGAGTGCAGATATCACTTTAAGATTCTAATTTCAATTTTTTATATATATGCCCAAAAATATGATTGCTAGGTCATATGGTAGTTCTATTTTTAATTTCTTTTGTGGAACTTCCATGCTATTTTCCATACCAGCTGCACTATTTTACATTTTCAACAACAGTGGAAAATGGTTTTGATTTCTCCACGACGTAGCCAATACATATTAATTTTTGATGTTTTAATAATAGCTAATCTAATAGTTGTGAGATGATAACTCATTGTCATCTTGCTTTATATTTCCCTGATGATTAGTGATGTTGATCTTTCTATATATATATAGATAGATATGGATATAGATATAGATATACCTGTTGACCATTTGTATATCTTCTTTAGAGACATGTCTAGTTAAGTCCTTTGCCCATTTTTTTAAGTTTGTTTATTTATTTTTATTTATTTATTTGCTGTTGAGTTGTAGGAGTCTCAAATATTGTGGAAATCAACTCTTATCGAATATATGGTTGCAAATATTTGCCCCGTTCTATTCAGTAAAATAATTTTTAAAAAATTCTAATTATTAATATATTTTATTAATTTGTAATTTCAAGAGTTGGTGGCTTTACTATGTTAACTTCTAATCAAGAATATGTTCATCTCAGGCCATGTGCAGTGGCTCCCAGCACTTTGGGAGGCAGGAGCTGGTGGATTGCTTGAGCCCAGGAGTTAGAGACCAGCCTGGTCAACGTGACGAAACTCCAAATCTACGAAAAATATAAAAATTAGCTAGGCGTGGTGGCACGTGACTGTAGTCTCAGCTACTCTGGAAGCCAAGGTGGGAGGATCACTTGAGCCAGGGTGGTCAAGGCTGCAGTGAGCCTTGATGGCACCACTGCACTTCAGCCTGGGTGACAGAGTGAGATCTTGCCTCAAAGAGAAAAGAAAAAAAGAAAAAAAAGTGTTAATCTCTGTGAGACACAAAGGTCTAGATTTGACAATTGGTAAGAAATTCAGGGACTTCTGAGATACTTTCCACTTGTTTTACTACCAAGCTAGTAAATAAGCAATCATGTGTTTCTCCAAGACGTCCATTCTTGCCTAGTATGTCATAAAGTTGCGTCTCAAAGTTGGGTAGCCTTAGAAGACCCTGTAAAGTGAGGACACAACCGATCCAAAGGATCCCAGACCAATGTCCCTACTGTTTTTATGGGGCTTCAAGCTAGAAGAAGGGCAAGATGAAGGTGAAGATCATGATTTATGCAACTTTTATTTAGGATTTCTGAATCAATAGTAATAAAAGTAAAATCTTGGGAGGCCGAGGCGGGCGGATGATGAAGTCAGGAGATCGAGATCATCCTGGCTAACGTGGTGACACCCCATCTCTACTAAAAATACAAAAAATTAACCGGGCGCGGTGGCGGGCACCTGTAGTCCCAGCTACTCAGGAGGCTGAGGCAGGAGAATGATGTGAACCCGGGAGGCGGAACTTGCAGTGAGCCGAGATCACGCCACTGCACTCCAGCCTGGGCAACAGAGCAAGACTCCGTCTCAAAAAAAATAAATAAATAAAGTAAAATAAAATAAAAGTCAAATCTGCATCATGTTTCTAGTTTAATTTATTATTTGGGGGTATCCTCAGACAATTTTCTCTATAATTTTGAATAGTCTCTCTCTTTTTTTTTTTTTTTTTTAGTTTAACAGAAATCTTTTTAAAATTTAAGTCTGTAGAATTTTATTACATTCTAGGAACATTTTGGATAAAGTTTAATAATTTATTGGTTTCTCTTCGTCATTAATTTCTTTCCTTTACTTCAGTAATATTTATTGATGTGTCTTGTATGTCAGAAATAATAGTAAACAGAAAAATGTGACACTTAGACAAAAAAAAGCAGTGACGTTAACACATAAACACAATAGGAAATTGTAGTAAGTATTATAAGTCTGGCGTCCCCAGCCCCCAGGCCACAGACCTGTACCTGTCCATAGCCTGTTAGGAACTGGCCGCACAGCAGGAGGTGAGCGGCAGGTGAGCAAGTGAAGTTTTATCCATATTTACAGCTGCTCCCCATCGTTCACATTATCACCTGAGCTTCACCTCCTGTCAGATCAGCAGAGGCATGAGATTCTCATAGGAGCGGGAACCCTATTATGAACTGCACATATGAGGGATATAGGTTGTGCACTCCTTATAAGAATTTAATTCCTGATGATCTGAGGTGAAATAGTTTCATCCTGAAATCATCACCCCCAATCCTCTCAGCAGTGGAGAAATTGTCCTCCAAGAAACCTGTCACTGGTGCCAAAAAGGCTGGGGACCATTACTATAAGTAATCATATCCAAGGATCTTTTGTTGCAGACAGTTATTGATTTTTTTTACTTTGTTTAATGGTTAATTTATCAACTGTAAATACATTTATTCTAAAAAATCATGATGAATCACTTTTTTGACTTTTATAGCAATAGTTTTCTTAAGTAATTTCACATTTTCTTGTACTAATTTTACATTTTAACAAATCATTTTGTCATATACTCCTACATGCTTCAAATGACATACAATAATTACTGAATGAGTATAGAATTTTATTTTTACTCCTACACTACTTAAAGTTATTGTATCATATATTTTATTTCCTTGTTATCTTCATACTTTTTTCACACTTTTCAAAGAGTGAATAATAATTGCAGAGCTAGAAATTAAAAAAAAAAAAACCCACTCTGGTTTGTCAGTCAACTGATTTCCAGGTCAAACATGAGTCCTCATTGTATCTTCTCAGTTCTCTCAATAATCTCCATTACAACATTGATGTAGGCCACTCTTTTATAGAGCTCATTTCCTACATCAAAAGAACATTCAGACCTCATGCATGTCTTTTTAACTTGAAGCTTTTTCTATCTATCCCCATGTTGTCCAAGTTTAATTTTCTTAATTTCACACATTGCTTTAATTTCCAGAAATATAATGCTTTCCTATGTGCGTCATATATTACATTTTGGTAGATGATCCAAAGCTTATGTCACCTTGGAAAGCAGAGTTGGTGAGAGCAAAGGTTTGTATTCTCTCTGACAGTAGATCAAGTTGCTATCTTCCATCAGATTTGGGAAGTACTTTTTAACCTGACTACCTTGTTGAGAAATGGAGCTGATAAGCCTTTCTTTTTTTCCTAATATTCTTTTTTTTTTTTTCAGGATGCTTTGGCTTATTCTCAGTTCCCTTTGTTTAGGCTTCTTTATTTTTTACTTGGAAAACTGTTCCCAAAATTTAGATTTTATTCAGACAAATGCTTAACATTGTGAGATAATCGGAACCACATATAAACTTGTAGCACCTAATACAGGCCGGGTATTTTATTTATATATATATATTTATACTTATATATAATATATATTATATATATAAATAAATATATATATGTATATATATGCCAGACATAGTGGTGAACATCTGTAATCCCAGCTACTCAGGAGGCTGAGGCAGAGGTTACAGTGAGCCAAGATTGCACCACCACTGCATTCCAGCCTAGGCGACAGAGTGAGACTCCATTTCAAAAAAGCAAATGAACAAACATCTAATACAATTATTTATTTTTAAATAAAGA
This sequence comes from Homo sapiens, assembly GCF_000001405.40. Lineage (NCBI taxonomy): Eukaryota > Metazoa > Chordata > Mammalia > Primates > Hominidae > Homo > Homo sapiens. Next base: position 25,294,623 of record NC_000005.10, read on the forward strand.
CAAATTAATAAAGATGTATACTACTAAGAATAATGTCACCCGTCTTAATTTTTTATGAATTTTTCATTTATAGTTTTTCCATGTGAGCATACTGGTGGGGTTTGACTGTGTCAATATATTCTAAATATTTCTATTTTTTATTCCATTATGTTGTCCATTATCACTGCCTAGTCAATGGCTTTCCTATTAACATTATTAGTCCCTTTAACATTTAGGTACACCTCTCCTATTCTTGAAAGCATCTTTGCTTTCTGGAGCAAGGTGTTCCAGTAACATCTTTATATCTGCTTGGGTACAATATATATGTTTGTGAAAGACTGCATTCTGCAAAATCACCGCAAACGATTCCAGGGCTTATGAGGAAAATGACATTGGCCAAAACCTGCGCAGGCCTGTAAACAGAGCACTAACAAAAATAATAACTGCTGTCTTAGAAAATAACTTGGCAGACCATGCAAGCAGCTCAGGTTTGCCTGAAGGTTGCCTAAGGAAATATTAAACTTATGCAAAAACAATTGAGGTGAAAGTCTGGCTTGTGCAAGGCACTGAATCAATGCAGAAAGAAAACGGAGCTCAGGACACCAGAGCAAGTAAAATCTGCTCTCAGACTAGAACTTTGTATGGGTGTGGTTCTGGTTCTCCAGAGTGAGTATATCGCACACAGTGACTCATTGTCAATTTCTCTAAAGTAGAGTTGAAAAGACTACCGTGTATGAAGCACCCAAGCAAAATGCTTACTACATTTTTTTTCCTTTTTTTTCTTGTTGAGGGTTTAATTTTTCTCACACTATTTTGGCTCCTCAGAAAAATCAGATATGAAAACAGATACAGATATAAAACACAAATTTTATTTTATAATTTTCCCTCATTAATAATGGTAATAAGCAACATTGGTTATTAGAAGTGTCTTATAACAGAAAAAAAAAGTCTGCAAACATCCTGAAATCAGCTACTCTGAAATAGTTTATGTACTTACTTTTCAATTTGGAAAGAGCGTTAAATATAAAAACTGAGAGCTTATATTTAATTTTTTAAAGGCTAGGAGCTTATAAAAATGGTTTGAAAGACCACATTTTAAAATGCTGCCATTAACATTTTGCAAAGCACAAAGGTTTTTGTTTTTTGGTTTTTAGTTTACAGTTTACAGTGATAATTCCAATTCTTGTATTTCCAAATGCATAATAAATTTTTTTTAAAAAACTAGTTAATTTTCTCTATATCATGCTTATTTAGTTTTTATTTCTTCTTTAAATTGCTATTATATACTTTTCTCTTTCATAACTGTCAACGTTCTTATTAACCAAGACAAAATATCTCTAAGATAGAGAATAAGATAACAAATAATTGTGGTAGGCTTTTCTAATAATAGTTTACCCTAAATTCCTAGCACAAACCCTGTGTATCCTGATTCATTTTGTTTTTAGTACAGCCATATACTGCATAATGATGTTTTAGTTAACAATAGACCCATATACAACAGTGGTACTGTAAGAATACGATGAAGCTGAAAAGTTTCTGTCTCCTAGGGACATCATAGCAATGGCAATCTGGTAGGGCAGCACATTACCCATGTGCTTGAATCTTGGTAATACTACTAGAAATGAATGTGTTCCCCTGGGGAGATTCGTGTGTGTATGTGTGCATGCGTATATGTGTGAATGTTCTATTTTTTAAATAAAGCTAGCTACATTTAGAAATAAATGATAATGTAAAATAGAAATTTAAGCTTTTTATGTATTACAACCATTGATTTTGGCAAATGTATGCTAAGATCCTTCAGAGATCTGACACATTTTTCCCCTTAACAAGAGATTTAACATCCACATGTCAAAATCTCATTAACTTTGTCACTATGACCATGGATACATCCTCAATAGAGAAACTTTTCTAGAATTTTCCCCTTTGATTAACACCTTTTATTTTTCTCATTTGATTACATTCATTAAATTGAATAATGGACTCCAGGAATCTCTTTTTGGCATAAAGTAATTTGACCCTTTTATGAGTGACAGTACCAATATTTGTTAGATGTTAAATTTAATTTCTCAAATATAATTTCCTTTGATTGATGCTGGATTATAAAATGTTAAAACCTCACCTTACAATTTATAGATTTAAAAAATTCATGCATTTTTAATTGTTCAAATTCTTCAAATACAGTAAAATATTCAAATAAATGCTTTTAAATCCATGAATAAAATTAATTGAATAATCGTGTCTTTCTGTAATACTGCAGGCTTATAGTCTTTTAAAAGACTATTGATACTGGATTCTTGATAACATTGCAATCAATAACTATTTTTTACTGTCCGAAATCAGTACTGATATAGATAATATGAACTCAAAAGGTCCAAAGTATATGTGATATTGCCATTTGTGTGGGAAGCATTATAGTATATTGGCTTGGAATTGAAAATAACTAGTTTTAATCCAGGTTTGTCACTTACTATATCTTTGAGTATGGAAAAGTAAATTATTTATCTACAACAGTGGTAGTCGAAATAACACTCACAAGTTGCTTCATCTATAAAACAGCAATAATTATAAGAATACTAACTTAAAGGGTTATTGGAAAAATACATGTACATAATAAACATGCAATGCCTGATAGGTACCTTGTGCTTTATCTGTTGTTACTATATCAAAAAGAATGGGCAAGACAAGAATGGGCAAGACAAGAATGATTAGAATTCAGCATAAAATGATAGAACGAACATTTTTTCATCTTTTTCTTTAAATCATATTTAAAACCTGAAAATAAAGTTTAGAAGAACACTACAGGATTACTTATCATGAGATTGAAAGAAAAATGTCTTATGCTATCTTGATAATACTCTTGAAATAGTTCAATCAACTGGAGATTATTTTAGCTATCTAATGGTTTATTATGCAATAAATCCATCTGACTGCTCTATAGAAATTTGGGTGAGGGTAGTGTAACTTAAAATCAGATAGTCTACCAATATAGATGGCTCTTAAACTTTGTCTTGACATTTTCTAAGAAAATACGTAGATGTTTTTACATTATTGGAAATTCAATTCGGAATTCATTCACACATCTCACGTCTCACACATTTCAGAAAATCAGAAATTTGTATTGATGAAAAAAAAAAGTTGTTCTTGGCCAAAAACATCAATCAGCCTCATCTCCAGAGTGATCCTCCAAACTCAGGGAGAATTGGTAAGTGTTTTTGACTTTCATGATAGATCTGAAAATTGTCACCTAAATTTTTTAAAAAGCAACACACGACCAGTGTTGCCAATCTCTTGTATTTAGCTTGAATTGACTCGGTACAGTTCTTTTTCCAAGTCTATATAAAAATGGCCTCAGGGGATATCATTTAATTGTGTGGTATGTTCGTTGTACTGTTCATTCCATCTTTTCTGTTATTTGCTATCATTATAAATCAACTACCATGTAAACCCATTTGATCAAATGATGTGCATTAATAAATTTTACTTCAAAATGGTTCTATTTAAAACATCACGTTTTCTATGAAATTATCATTGAAGATATTACCTATAATGTTGTTCAATGTTTTCTTAAGATTTCATTTTTTTTTGAGCAGTTTTAGGTTCACAGCAAAATTGGGAGCATGGTACAGGAATTTCCCATATAGCCTGTGACCTCACACATGTTGTATAGCTTGCTCTGGTGAGGGACTATGAACATCCCTCACCAGAAGTCATATTTGTTGCAATTGATGAACCTGTATTGACACATCATAATCATCCAAAGGCTGTAGTTTACATTAGGGTTCACTCTCAATGTTGTACATCCTAGGGGTTTGGACACATGCATAATGTAATATTCATTTGCAATATCACATATATATAATTATAGTAACATATAGAGTTTACACAATGTCCTTAAACTATTTGCTTTGCCTTTTCATCCCTCTCACCTCTATGTCATCTGTTGGCAACCAATTCTCTTCTGCTGTCTTCACAGTTTTGTCTTTTCCAGAATGTTATGTAGTTGGAATCCTGTAATATATAAAGGATTTAGATTGACTTATTTCACTTAGCAATGTGCATTTAAGTTTCTTTCCTGTATTTTCACATCTTAATAACTCAGTTCTTTTTACTGTTGAATAATATTCCATTGTCTGGATTTACTGCGGTTTATTTATCCATTCACCCACTGAAGTACATTTTGATTTCTTCCAAGTTTTGTTAATTATGAACAAAACTGCCATAAACATTTGTGTGCAGGTTTGTGTGGAAGTTTTCAGCTCCTTTAGGTAAATGCCAAGGAGTACGATTGGTGGATCATGTGGTAAGGATATGTTTAGTCTTGTAAGAAATTGCCAAACTGCCTTCTTAAGTAACTGTCCCATTTTGTATTCCCACCAGCAGTGAATGACAGTTCCTATTTCTCAACATCATTGTCAGCATTTGATGCCGTCAGTGTCCTAGATTTTGACCATTATAATAGGTGGGTAGTGGTATCTTGTTGTTTTAACTGGCCTTTCCTTTATGACATACGATATGGAGCATCTTTTCCTATGCTAATTTGCCATGCATGTGTCTTCTTTGATGAAGTGTCTGTTAAGGTTATTGAGCTATTTTTTCAATCAGACTTTCTCTTATTACCGGGGTTTAAGGGTACTTTGTAAATTCTACACAACTCCCCTTAATCAGATTTATCTTTTGCAAACATTTTTTCCCAGTCTGTGGCATTTCTCTTCATTCTCTTGACTTTGTTTTCTGCAGAGCAGAAGTTTTCAATGGCTGGCTTAATGATTGATTTCTTTCTTGGATCATGGCTTTGGTGTTCTTCCTAAAACGTTATTTCCATACTGATGATCAGCTAGATTTTCTCCTTTGTTACCTCTTAGTTTTATAGTTTTATGTTTTACATTTGATCCTATGATTCATGTTGGGTTAATTTTTGTGGAGGGTGTAAGATCTGTGTCTAGACTCACTTTTTTTGCATGTCTAGTTATTCTGGTACCTCTCGCTGAAAAGACTATCTTTGCTACATTATACTGCATTGCTTTTTGTTCCAAAATCAGTCGACTATATTTATGCAGGTCTATTTGTTGGTTATCTATTCTGTTCCATGGGTCTATTTGTCTCTTTTTGCCAATATCAGACTGTCATGATTACTGTACCTTTATAGTAAGCCTTAGAGATGGGTATAGACAGTCCTTCAATTTATTCTTATCAATCAATATTGCTTTGGCTATTCTGTGTTTTTTGCCGCTCCATATAAACTTTAGAATTAGCTTGCTAGTGTCCACAACATACATTACTGGAATGTGATTGGAATTTTGTTGAATCTATAGACCAAATTGGGAAGAAATGACATATTGCCAATATTGAGTCTTCTGATTTATGAGCATGGGATGTTTCCATTTATTTGGTCCTTTTCTGTTTAACTCATCAGAATTTTATAGTTTTTTTTGTATAAAGCTTGTACATATTTTGTTCAATTTATACCTAAAGTATTCCATTTTGGGGGAAGCTGATATAAAAGTAATGTTATTTCTGTTTTTTTTTATTTCAAATTTAACTGTTCATGGCTGGTCTATAAAAAATAAACTGACATTTGTACATTAGACTTGTAATCAGCAACCTTGCTATAATTGTTTGCTAGTTCCAGAAGTTATTTGTTGTAGTTGTTGATTCCTTTAGGTTTTTTACATGGATAGTCTTGCCATCTTTAAACAAAAATAGGCTTATTTATTTTTTCTCAATACTTATACATTTTGTTTCCTTTCTTATTGCATTAGCTAGAACTTTCAGTATGATATTGAAAAGCTGTGGTGAGAAGAAGACATCCTTGCCTTTCTCTGAATCTTAGTAGGGGAGCTTCAAGTTTCTCAACATTAAGAATAAAGTTAGCTATAGGGATTTTGTAAATATTCTATTTCTGGCTAAGGAAGTTCTCTATTCCCAGTTTATTGAGAATTATCACAATTGGGTGTTGTATTTCATGAAATGCTTTTTCTGCATATGGTGATATGATCATAATGTTTTTGCAAAAACCTATGAAGTGAGTGTTTTTTAAAATGCTACAAATTTCCTCTGGAGAAACTAGTGTATTTTGAAGTATCTATAAAAGTTGGAAGCCATATTATATCTTACATTTGGCCATGTTTGACAGGTCAGTTAAAGATCATGATTAATCACAACAGGAATATTAGCGGGGATAATTTTAAAGTTTGCTCTTGTTACAGTTTATTTTTTTCTTCTCATAATTTTGCAGGTTTCTATACATTTCTTTTGAAAAACTGTGAGAATCAAAAACAGAAAAATGGGTCTTTAAGATAATCTGGTGATTTTACATTTTCCTAAATGTATATTTAATTAACTTTTTCTATTTTTAATATGCTGTATCACTAATCATTATGTTAAAAGGTATAGTAATTTATAACTTTATGATCTATTTCAAAAAATCAGTTATTAGACAAGCAGGGTAATAAAAACTTTCAAAAAACAGTATTTTCCAATATCATTGCTAGACAAGATTATTCAATTATCTTTCATTTTAAAATTTCCATTTGATTATTTCTCTTTGTGCCAACAGCAGTCGTAACTCTGAGAACCTGAAAGTCTAGCCACTAAATAAACATTTTATTAATTAAATAAATTTTTACATAGCTACTAACAGCTACCACAATTTATAGACTGATTTTATTTAAATGTTTTATTTGAAGACTTATATTCCCTTTTTTGCATAATGTAAGCATAAATATAATATTCTTTACTCAGCTATGAGAAGATCATAAAATTTCTTCCCAGAAATATTTTTATGACTAATTGCTTCCCATTCATGTGGTCAGAAATCTTATTTTATTCATTTAACCTATTTTTCATACCAACTTTTAATATCACCGTCTTCCCAATTTTAAAATAATGAATGCAATTCCATTTCAAACATGTATACTCCTCTCTGTAACTTCATCATTTTTTTTCCTGTTTTAATGCAATTCTTACCTACTACCATTAAACCTCCATTTGTGTTACTGCAATTCCACTAAAATTCACAGTAACAATATTGTTAAAACTAATTTACATTTTTAAGATAAAATTATAGTTGCCTGTTTAATAGTTTGACATTCAATGAAATAAAAGATAAAAAAGCATTTTTGAGTGTGTGTGAATGCCTGTGTATGTACAATACCTGTATGAGTTTGTGGATAAGAGTGTGCATAGTGTGTGTGAGTGTGTGTGTGTGTGTGTAGGAAAAGGGGAAAGAGAAAAAGAGATATTAAATGTAATTTTGTAATTTTTTACAGTAAGTACTTTTTTAAACATTCAAGTGAATATATATAGTTGGAAATAGTTTGGCTGGGAGCTATTTGAATTTGAAACTCAACCTCATGCATATGGTAGATGAAACCACACATTGAGACAAGCTAGGAAAAGTCTAAATAGTAAGTAAAGTTAATGTTTAGCAAAACTGGAATCCTGAGAGTTAGTCAAGCAGGCAAACCATGTTGGAAATTAGGCGTCCAAAAGAAAAATCATAAGATGGTAGTTTCTTAGCAATAAAAGAAATAGAAAGCTTTAAGAATGTAGTGATGCTCCGGTTGAATATTCTCCATCACTTTTGCCTCCACTTCTTGGATGTGTTTTCTTTTCAGTCATCCTCCTTAGCCACCTCTGATGAGTGCATTGAAGAGGATGACCTGCTTGGTTATTCTGCTTCCCGAATACAAAAAATTAGGCTTCTGAAATCAAACATAAGAAGTCATTGTTGCTTTTATTCCAGGTGGGTCAGCTTTCTCAAATACTGTGAATTTCTATGTGTTTGATTCAAATCAACGCCTTTTACATAAACTTGTAATTCTGCCTGAGACATCTATCACTATAGTTTAATTACAATCATTTGAGATGAGAACACCTAAAGTCTACCCTCCTAGCAATTCAAGGATACAAAACATTAGTTTTAACTCTGGTCATCGCATGGTACAATAGATCTCTTCAACTTATTCTTGCAATTTAACTGAACTTTTGTATCTTTTGACCAACATCAACCCAATCCCCCTGCACTCAGTCCCTGGTAACCACCGTTCTCCTCTCCACTTTTTATGAGTCCAACTTCTTTAGATTCCACATATAAGTGAGATAATGTACATGTTAATTAACTCAATTTAATTTTTCTATAATGTTTATATATTTCAAAACAACATGCTGTATACCATAAGTTTGTATAATTTTTGCTGAATTAAAAATAAAAATACTTACGATTATTTGAGATGTGTCGGGCTTCTGTGGAACTATGCCTATGAGATATTCAACTTAGAGTTATTATTTTCCTAGCCTTTTTTTATCTCTGACTTGAGATCTACGTTTTAGCTCTGCCACACTGCGTACAATTCTCCAGGCAATTAATACTGAGGCTAGTTTCTGGCACTTCTCCATAAACTGTCCCATCTTCCTTAACTAAATTTGCCTCTTACCTGTACTCCAGTCGCTAAAGGGCTTCACGCCTGGTCACCGTGAGTACATCCCTCAACTACCCAATGTATACATACCAATTTAAGAGGAAAAAGTTTTTTATTTCTATTTTAGTAGCAAGTTATTAATTACAGTAATTAAACATTTCGTCTAAAAGAAAGAAAATACATAGTTAAATCTAGAATATGTGGTAAGTTAAAGAAACATTAATTTTGGTTTCAGGCAAACGTTGTTAGTTTTACTTCATTAGATTGATTTTCTAAAGCTAGAAGCCTAGGGAAGAATAATTTGTATATAAAGAATTAAATAAAGCTTTTACATAAAAATTATAAAAACATATATTTATATACATTCCAGTGATTAAACACAACTCTTTCCTCTTCTTTTAAGTTTCGAATGTACCTTTGATAACTGTCTGTATTGAATTCTAGTCATTACTTAAGCTATCCTTAATTAAAAGTAAGAGCTGAAGAGTTTTGGTTAAAATATATATGTATGCTTGAAGTTCATTTTACTTATATCCAAACCAATCAATGCTAATAATATCACCAAAGTGATTTTACCCACATAAAATATTTCAACATGGATTTCTGAACCTATACTGGTGCCAAATTTTTATAAATAGATTGCTTTTATTTGAATATTAGTTTTTTACAGTTGCAAGAATCCCTTCAAATTGTCTAAATAAGGCAGACAAGAAGAGAAACAGATGTACATAAGTGAACCTGAATAGATAGACAGATGATAGATAAATAGGAGAGAGAACAAGAGAGAGAGAGAGAGAGAGAAAGAGAGAGATGCATGATAAATGATGGAATCTTGGTAATAGTAAACTAACTGAATTAGATATTAGGAAATATACTAATGTAAATACTAAAAAGAGATGTTCATCCCATGAATATTCAAGCAGAACAATAAATCTATGTTTCAGTTTTAATATATGTAATATTAATAATTTTAAAAGTAAAATATTACCTTAAACTTTTCACTTTTTATAAATTATCTTTTTCAAGAGAATCATTTTTAAATATTGTGTTACTTTATTTGTATCTATAATTTTTAAATATTTTCTCTTCAAAATTCCTGAAATGTGTATGCCACATAAAATATACTTAGTATTTTCTCATTCTAAAATAAATCTGAACAGCTTTAAAGCATGACAATTATGCTTAAGAATATTACTACCGGTTTCTTGAAAGGACATTTTTTTTACTCTCTGATTTGCATATAAAATCGCATAGAATAGATTCACATTATTAATTTCAGCATTCCTGAGACTGAAAAATATTTAGAGTGATAAAAATACTGTTGGTTTTCTCACATTTTGTGGCCATGTACACTGAGGCAAAGTGAAGAACTGATCCAGGGATTTCAAATAGTGTTAGCAAATGATTCAGCATTATAACAGGAAATGTTTTATCCAATATATTTTTAGTAAAGTGTTCATGTCAGAGTAAACCAAAATGATTTACAAAAAGAATGAAAGAACAATTTACATATCAGGGATATCCACCCCCCTTTTAAAAGGCATATTGTATTTTTAAATTGAAGATTATATACTTTATGTTCTAGAAAATGTACTTTAATTAAATATATATAATATATGTGTGTGTGTGTATATATATACTCTTTTTCTTTCTTTCCTTCTTTCTTTCTTTCTTTTTTTTTTTTTTTTTTTTGTTTTTGAGGCAGAGTCTCACTCTGTTGCCCAGATCAGAGTGCAGTGGTGCAATCTCAGCTCACTGCAACCTCCTCCTCCTGGGTCAAGAGATTCCTCTGCCTCAGCCTCCCGAGTAGCTGGGATTACAGGCACGTGCCACCAAGCCCGGCTAATTTTTGTATTTTTAGTAGAGACAGGGTTTCACTATGTTGACCAGTCTGGTCTCCAACTCCTGATCTCAGGTAATCCACCCACCTTGGCCTCCCAAAGTGCTGGGATTACAGGCGTGAGCCACCGTGCCTGGCCTTTATTTAAATATGAATTCTGAGTTTTGTATGTATCTTGACAGATCCACTGAGAAAATGTATTTGAGTATTTAGATTAATTCACTAAGCAAAAACTCAGTTTAGCCTTTAAAGGCATCAACAACAAAAAAAATGGGCATTTTCATCCATCAAATATATGTCATTAGTTTTGGCAGTAAATTTTAATTTCGACATGAGGAACATATTAGTATAGATGAATCTTATTTTATTTTTATTTATAGCTTTATTAATATTATTAAACTACAAAATGTTTTAAATAGCTTGAATTTCAACTAAACATATTAAATAATGTCAATATGGTAACAAAATAATTGAATAGCTATTCACCCATTTAAATTGATGATGTAGGTATTTTGAAGGCACAAAAACATATTTACAGTGCATCATTAAGTGAAAAGACAAACTTCTAAATATGCATAAATATGCATTCAACTCTGAAATAAACTAGATATATGTTTCCTCTATATGTGTGTATACATAATTTTACAAAATTTATATGTGAACATTATTACTTATTAATATATGTGACTAAATGTGTATCGTGGATACATGAGTTATACATTTACATATGTAACCACTTCTAAAATACATATAGTGGTATTTATGACAAATATATTACTTTGAGGTCAATCAAGTAATATTGATTTTACTAGAATTTAAGCCTGATGAATGTGAGACATTATTTTTTCTGTTTTGTTTCATCTTGTATTCAAATGTCATAACTTCCTGGCATATAGTACTTAATAAATATTGAATACAGAAGAACTGAATAATTAAATTCCTATCTGTATGTATATATCTCTATAGACATTTGTACCTATATGTAGATATATGTCCATATGCACCAAGGTTAAATCTTTTTTATTTTTTTTTTTAAGAGACTGGGTCTCGCTGTGTTTCCCAGGCAGGTCTCTAACTACTGGGCTCAAATATCTGTCTGCTGCAGCCTCCCAAAGTGATGGGATTAGAGGCATTAGCCACCCCACCCAGCCTCAACCAAGGTTAAATCTTAATAATGGCTTTTTTATAATTTTTAGACAATATACTTTTTATAATTTTCTGTTTCTAATTTATTTTTCTAACAAGAATACATTAACGTTATAGTCTTGAAGTGCTCATTAAATTTTATAAAATAAATGTTATTAAGCATAACTAGTTCTGTTGAAGTTCATTTACATTCTTCTTACAATTAGAGTTTAAAATATGACAGTCTTCTGTCTGAATGTCTTCTGATTTATAACCACACAAACCATTTCAATAAGTATGTTATTCTTTTCTCTAAATATGTAATTTTAAAGTTGACACAAATTAATTTTAATATTGAATAAAATTTTCATTAAGGGTAAACATTAAGTAGAGTTCACATAAGTATGAAAAAATATTTTAAATATTAAGAACTAGATTAGATAATTTCTTGGGATGGTCTTCCTAGTATGTATGAAATATTTTAAATCTTGAAGGAATATCTTTTTACTTATTTCTTTTTAAAATAACTGTATTGTAAGTAATCATTAGGGCTACTGACAATTTATTTTCTCTGCAGAATATACATTATACTTCTCTGAGCACTTTGAGGTCAGTTGTGTCATTTTGACTAATGTAGGGAAACACACTATGAGAAGAAAGTATGTTGCTTTCCCAGAAAGTTTTTTTTATCCCAAGTTGGCAATTGTGGAATCACCTGTGCAAGCAGACCTGCCATGACCTACATTGCATTATCACTATGTGGAACAGAGCAGATCTGCTCACTGAGTCTTTTTTTATTATTATTATTATACTTTAAGTTCTAGGGTACATGTGCACAACGTACAGGTTTGTTACATATGTATACATGTGCCATGTTGGTGTGCTGCACCCATTAACTCATCATTTAGCATTAGGTATATCTCCTAATGCTATCCCTCCCCGCTTCCCTCACCCCATGACAGGCCCCAGTGTGTGATATTCCCCACCTTGTCTCCAAATATTCTCATTGTTCATTTCCCACCATGAGTGAGAATATGCAGTGTTTGGTTTTCTGTCCTTGTGATGCTTTGCTCAGAATGATGGTTTCCAGCTTCATCTATGTCCCTTCAAGGGACATGAACGCATCCTTTTTTATGGCTGCATGGTATTCCATGGTGTATATGTGCCACATTTTCTTAATCCAGTCTATCATTGTTGGACATTTGGGTTGGTTCCAAGTCTTTGATATTGTGAACAGTGCCACAATAAACATACGTGTGCATGTGTCTTTAGAGCAGCATGATCTATAATCCTTCGGGTATATACCCAGTAATGGGATGGCTGGGTCAAATGGTATTTCTAGTTCTAGATCCTTGAGGAATCGCCTCACTGTCTTCCACAATGGTTGAACTAGTTTACAGTCCCACCAACAGTGTTAAAGTGTGTCTATTTCTCCACATCCTCTCCAGCACCTGTTGTTTCCTGACTTTTTAACGATCGCCATTCTAACTGGTGTGAGATGGTATCTCATTGTGGTTTTGATTTGCATTTCTCTGATGGCCAGGGATGATGAGCATTTTTCCATGTGTCTGTTGACTGCATAAATGTCTTCTTTTGAGAAGTGTCTGTTCATATCCTTTGCCCACTTTTTGATGGGGTTGTCTGATGTTTTCCTGTAAATTTGTTTAAGTTATTTGTAGATTCTGGATGTTAGCCCTTTGTCAGATGAGTAGATTGTAAAAAATTTTCTCCCATTCTGTAGGTTGCCTGTTCACTCTGATGGTAGTTTCTTTTGCTGTGCAGAAGCTCTGTAGTTTAATTAGATCCCATTTGTCAATTTTGGCTTTTGTTGACATTGCTTTTTGTGTTTTAGTCATGAAGTCCTTGCCCATGGCTATGTCCTTAATGGTATTGCCTAGGTTTTCTTGTAGGGTTTTTATGGTTTTAGGTCTAACATTTAAGTCATTAATCCATCTTGAGTTAATTTTTGTATAAGGTGTAAGGAAGGGATCCAGTTTCAGCTTTCTACATATGGCTAGCCAGCTTTCCCAGCACCATTTATTCAATAGGGAATCCTTTCCCCATTTCTTGTTTTTGTCAGGTTTGTCAAAGATCAGATGGTTGTAGGTGTGTGGTATTATTTCTGAGGGCTCTGTTCTGTTCCATTGGTCTACATCTGTGTTTTGGTACCGGTGCCATGCTGTTTTGGTGACTGTAGCCTTGTAGTATAATTTAAAGTCAGGTAGTGTGATGCCTCCAGCTTCATTCTTTTTGCTTAGGATTGTCTTGGTGATGTGGGCTCTTTTTTGGTTCCATATGAACTTTTAAGTAGTTTTTTTCCAATTCTGTGAAGAAAGTCATTGGTAGCTTGATGGGGATGGCATTGAATCTATAAATCACCTTGGTCAGTATGGCCGTTTTCATGATATTGATTCTTCCTATCCATGAGCATGGAATGTTCTTCCATTTGTTTTGTGTCCTCTTTTATTTCGTTGAGCATTGCTTTGTAGTTCTCCTTGAAGAGGTCCTTCACATCCCTTGTAAGTTGGATTCCTAGGTATTTTATGTTCTTTGTAGCAATTGTGAATGGGAGTTCACTCATGATTTTGCTCTCTGTTTGTCTGTTATTGGTGTATAGGAATGCTTATGATTTTTTCACATTGATTTTGTGTCCTGAGACCTTGCTGAAGTTGCTTATCAGCTTAAGGAGATTTGAGGCTGAGATGATGGGGTTTTCTAAAATACAATCATGTCATCTGCAAACAGGGACAATTTGACTTCCTCTTTTCCTAATTGAATGCCCCTTATTTCTTTCTCCTGCCTGATTGCCCTGGCCAGTTCTTCCAACACTACGTTGAATAGGAGTGGTGAGAGAGGGTATCCTTGTCTTGTGCCAGTTTTCAAAGGGAATGCTTTCAGGTTTTGCCCATTCAGTATGATATTGGCTGTTGGTTTGTCATAAATAGCTCTTAATATTTTGAGATATGTCCCATCAATACCTAGTTTATTGAGAGTTTTTAGCATGAAGCGCTGTTGAATTTTGTCGAAGGCCTTTTCTGCATCTATGGAGATAATCATGTGGTTTTTGTCTTTGGTTCTGTTTATATAATGGATTACGTTTATTGATTTGTGTATGTGGAACCAGCCTTGCATCTCAGGGATGAAGCCAACTTGATTGTGGTGGATAAGCTTTTTGATGTGCTGCTGGATTCGGTTTGCCAGTATTTTATTGGGGATTTTTGCACTGATGTTCATCAAGGATATTGGTCTAAAATTCTCCTTTTCTGTTGTGTCTCTGCCAGGCTTTGGTATCAGGATGATGCTGGCCTCATAAAATGAGTCAGAGAGGATTCCCTCTTTTTCTGTTGATTGGAATAGTTTCAGAAGAAATGGTACCAGCTCCTCTTTTACCTCTGGTGGAATTCGGCTTTGAATCTGTCTGGTCCCGGACTTTTTTTGTTGGTAGGCTATTCATTATTGCCTCAATTTCAGAGTCTGTTATTTGGTCTGTTCAGGGACTCAACTTCTTCCTGGTTTAGTCTTGAGAGGGTGTATGTGTCCAGGAACTTATCTATTTGTTCTAGATTTTTTAGTTTATTTGCATAGAGGTGTTTATAGTATTCTCTGATGGTAGTTTGTATTTCTGTGGGATCGGTGGTGATATCCCCTTTATCATTTTTTATTGCGTCTATTTGATTCTTCTCTCTTTTCTCCTTTATTAGTCTTGCTAGCAGTCTATCAATTTTGTTGATCTTTTCAAAAAACCAGCTCCTGGATTCATTGATTTTTTGAAGGGTTTTTGTGTCTCTGTCTCTTTCAGTTCTGCTCTGATCTTAGCTCAGTGAGTCTTAATGGAAGCAAGCCTTGAGGGATTATTATAATAATCCGCCAAGATTTTGGATAATTTGCTACCATGCAAAACCAGCTAATACCTGATTGATGCAAACATACTATGGCTACATAACAGATATATGCCTTATGTGACTAACAAGTTATTAGTAATTCCAATAGAAACTCCATTTTTGACTTGTTGGTTCCAAAATATTCTGCACACACATTGGCTTCTTAATCTGAGAAAGAAAGCCTATTCATTTGGCCCATACAGAAGGATAGGAATTAAAATTTAGACCTTAGACCTGGCCAGGCGAGGTGGCTCATGCCTGTAATCCCAGCACTTTGGGAGGCTGAGGCGGGCGGATCATCTGGGGTCGGGAGTTCAAGACCAGCCTAACCAACATGGAGAAACCCTGTCTCTACTAAAAACACAAAATTAGCCAGGTGTGGTGGCACATGCCTGTAATCCCAGCTACTCGGGAGGCTGAGGCTGAAGAATCACTTGAACCCAGGAGGCAGAGGTTGCAGTAAGCCGAGATCAAGCCATTGCACTCCAGCCTGGGCAACAAGAGTGAAACTCCATCTGAAAAAAAAAGGAAAGCAAACAAAAAATAAGAAATTTAGCCCTGGCTGTCAGAACTTTCGCTGAGAGGAAGCCTTTGAGTATGATGTGGTAATGGATGCTTTTCTTGTCATAACACAGACTTGAAAACATTATCATTGGTTTCTGCAACATTGAGTGTAACTTTCTATTTGCATAACTCTATCCAGTATGCCTCTGGATCCCTAATTTATCTTTTTAACATATTAGACTCTATTGGCTGTAGTTTTTTATTTAATTTGCCTTTCAGTTTATTAATCCTAGCTTTATCTGTATATAACTGTAGTTATGTTATTTGTATATAAAGTATTATTAAACAGGTCATTGTGTTTGTACTTCAGATAGTTTCCATATCTAGTAATTCCATTTAATTTGTTTTATGTATACCTAAATATTTTTGATTACTTAATTTTTTGTTTCTCATTCTTTATTTTTATTACTTAAAAGTATTTAATATTATCAATTTGTATTGTGGTATTAGTATATCCAACAAAGATATGCTAATTTTTTTTTTTTTTCTTTTTTTTTGAGTAGGAGTCTCGCTCAGTCGCCTCGGCTGGAGTGCAGTGGCACCAGCTCGGCTCACTGCAACCTCCGCCTGCTGGATTCAAGTGATTCTCTTACCTCAGCTTCCCGAGTGGCTGGGATTACAGGCACCTGCCACAACGCCCGGCTAATTTTTTTGTATTTTAAATAGAGACAGGATTTCACCATGTTGGGCAGGCTGGTCTTGAACCCCTTACCTCAAATGATTCACTTGCCTCGGCCTCCCAAAGTGCTGCAATTACAGGCATGAGCCCCCTCGCCCGGCCAAGATGAACTAATTTAAACAAATATTTATATTGATCATCATAGTACATCCATCTTTGTTGGATGTATTAATACCACAGTATAAATTGATAATATTAAATATTACCAATTCTATCAGACTATCAGATGTTCAGACATCTGAAGTCCTTGTTGGTATCACTTGCCCATTTTTAATGATATTTGCTCACAATATATGTTGATTTCTTTTCTATTTCAGCAGCTGTTTGTGCTAATGTGTCAGGTTAAGATCATATCTATGCAACTTTACAACAGAAAACTGAATTACTTTTGTTTGCATTTCCCCAAATGATGTGTTTTCTTCACCAATAAATGCAATTTATAAGGACAACTTTGTATTAAAACTCTTGCCTTAATGTTTCTTTAGATAGACAATTAGTAGTAATTTGAATGGTTTAAACCCAAATATGTTAGGATAGCTAATTTTGGTTCAAAATTTGAGTAAAAACATTACTTTTTCACCTCATATGGTACCCAAACCAAAAAGACAAATTTCCTGCCTTGTTCCTTTCTTGAGATAGTGATAATGATGATAATGAGGATGATGATGATCATGGTGATTGTGCTGACAATTCAACATTTCATTGATGATCTGATTTATTTGCTAAGGCTCTTCCTTGACTGATTTGCATGCGTCTTTTCTCAAATCCCCTAGGTAGTCATTAAATTCTGCATGACCTGGCCGGGCACAGTGGCTTATGCTTGTAATCCTAGTACTCTGGGAGGCCTAGGCGAGCAGATCACGAGGTCAAGGGATTGAGACCATCCTGGCCACCATGGTGAAATCCCATTTATACTGAAAATACAAAAATTAGCTGTAGTCCCAGCTCCTCGGGAGGCTGAGGCAGGAGAATCAGTTGAACCCAGGAGGCAGAGGTTGCAGTGAGCTGAGATTGCACCACTGCACTCAAGCCTGGAGACAGAGTGAAACTCCATCTCAAAAAAGAAAAAAAAATTCTGCACAACCTTAAACATTGTGTAGGTTATATAGTGTCACATTCCAAACAATTATTTATTTACTGATTGCTCTGTAGTTTCAGGAATTTGAGTTTTCCTAAACTGAGGAATTCTTGTTCTAGTCCCATCTGGGATCATTCATGTAATTCCAATTACTTGATAGTTAGACTGTGACTACATGGTATGAGAAGGCCTCATTCACATATTTCAGCATTGCCAAAACCTCTTAGCTGGGCTTCTCTGTCTCTCTGTGGTCTCTCATCATCAGAGACTATATTTAGGTTTTCCCCAAGAGGGTCTCAGGCCAGGGTTTCAGCTGAGCACAAGCAGAGTTTATAAATTCTCTTGAAGTCTAGATTTGAAATGCACCTAACATCAATTCTATAACATTCTATAGATTAAAGCAAGCTTATTGCAGCTTGGAATCAAAGGGTTAGAGAAATTGTGTTTATTTATTCAAGACAGGAACTGCAAAGTCACATTGCAAATGAACACGCATTATAGTGATGGGGAAAATTTGTGGCAACGTACCAATAATTCACAGCAAAAAGGACTTCAAAAGTTGAATAAACATATAGATAAACTAATAAATAACATTGATAATCGGGACTATAAAGAATAAACATTTAGACATTTAACAATCCATGGGTAAAAACACTAATCCATCTATATTGTGTTGGCAAGAAATGGAGGAATAGTGACTTAATATCATGTTGGTGAAGTTCAAATTTGGAGCAGGTGCTTTGAAAGCAGCTTGCAAATAGCCAGTGTAGTAGGCAGCATCAGAAATAGTTTCCAATGACGCCCACCCCTTGGTATCCATGTCTTTGTACAATCTTCTCTCCCTGAGTATAGGCTGATTTAGTCACTTGCTTCTTATAAGAAGAATAGAGCAGAAGTGATGGAAAATCACTTCTGATTAGATTACAAAAGTTATTTTATTTCCTTCTCTTTCACTTCTTCACTTTGACAAAGCCAACTGTCATTTGTGAACTGCCCTTTGGCAAGGACTAAGACTGGCCTTCAATCAACAGCCAATGAAGAAGAGACCCTTAGTTCAACATCCTGTAAGCCATGGAATCCTACAAAAGACTGCATCAGGTGATCTTGCAAGCAGATTCACCCTCAGTCAAACCTTGAGATGACTGCAGCCTTGAGAAAGACAAAGCCGGGAGAGTATCCAGCTTAGACGTGCCTGCATTCCTCACCCACAAAAAATGTGGTAGAATGTTTTGGGAACAATTATTACACAGTGATAGATAACTATTGCATCTAGTAGATTTGAAAGGTCTCATTAGACTGAACAAATCCAGATCTAGATAAATGCTGCGAAAACACCATGGCTCATGTGAATTTAAAAAATGGACTAAATAACAAGCAATTTATAAAATAAACTGCTTTTACATATATAAACACAGATTAACCTGAACACAAAATTGTTAGTAGAACCACTAAACTACAAAAATTGTGTGTACAGATGATTTTATTCCTGTACAGTAAAGTAGCAAAACATTATATCTTATATGTAAACATATATGTATATAGCAAAAATATTACAAAATTAATCAATGGTCTGAAAACCAACACCTGGATAGTGCCTCATTGAAGAATTACTGAGAAATCAAAGAATGCAACCATTCATTTATAATATTTTAGATTTTTAAAATAATAGGTTTGATGCAAATGTATCTACATGCTAAGTTTTCTTACATCCTGGTAGGTTATGCACGGGTATTCCTTATAATGTGTTATGTTTTTCTTACTCAAAATATTTCATAATTTTTGAAAAAATAATTTTAATAAGGAAAAGTTAAAATATTATAAATGTTATACTTTATTATGAAATTGTTATAAATGCCATTAACATAAAAAATATTGGAGATAATAGCACCTGCCTTTGGTTTAGGGAAGTTAAAAGAAGATCAAATTAGATACAGATCTTGTTTATTGTAGTAATCTGATGACAACAGAATCAGCAACCATAAGACATAAAATAATTTCCAAGACATTAAACAAACAAATCATTTATATGGAGTAATGTAAACAAATCATTTATATGTCTATTGCACACAACGTATCTCTAAACTATGCCTCTGAGACATCCAGTAAATAGTAGAAAGCAGACTAAATTTATCAGATTTTGTTATTGTTGGAAAAAACAATTTAAAATGACATATAATCCACAAAAAATAGAAAATACATTATTCATCCATGTAAATCTATCTAGAAATATTAATATTAGTATGCTAATTAGAGAGTAACATATTCAAATGTTTAGTCATCAGAAATGCGATAAATAACATTAAATATGGGTAATCCTAGAAATTTTTTTTTTTTTTTTTTTTTTTTTTTTTTTTTTTTTTTTTTTTTTTTTTGAGACGGAGTCTCGCTCTGTCGCCCAGGCTGGAGTGCAGTGGCGGGATCTCGGCTCACTGCAAGCTCCGCCTCCCGGGTTCACGCCATTCTCCTGCCTCAGCCTCCCAAGTAGCTGGGACTACAGGCGCCCGCCACTACGCCCGGCTAATTTTTTGTATTTTTAGTAGAGACGGGGTTTCACCTTGTTAGCCAGGATGGTCTCGATCTCCTGACCTCGTGATCCGCCCGCCTCGGCCTCCCAAAGTGCTGGGATTACAGGCGTGAGCCACCGCGCCCGGCCTAGAAATTTTTTTATGATTCAATTTGTTGAACCAAATTGGTAAAATTCCCGGGTTTATATTTATATATATATATAAAAAAATAATTTGTTTCCTTTTTTGGATGATGAATTGCTAATTGAGAACATATAAAGTATCAAAATATTAGTTTGGCTTGTATATATTTTGTCATAGTCACAAAAGCAGTCACAGTAATCACAAAAGCAGTATAGGAAGAAACAATATTCATATAATATCGGGAAACAAAAGCAGCTTGAGACTTGGAACAAAAGAAGGAAGTACTCAGAAGATTAAATTAGCATAGTTTACAGACTTTGTCTAGATTGCATTAATGGCCCCAATTCCTTACCACTCCATCTATCCATAACTTCTTCTAAGTTTTCAACGCTCTCCCACTGTGGATAGGTATCATTCTTCGTCCCTAGGCTTGGTTTGTGATTGGCTTTGGCCAATATGACCAGACACTAGCAGTGTCTTGAAAAGTTTTTGCAAGGTTGATCTCACTAGCTTTTGAGCTGCTCACATCTCCACATCAAAACCATGTCTGGGGTAGCCCTATGGTGCTGTGAGGAGGATGAACAACATCTGAAGCAGAGAAATATCAACTGAGGTGCCCTAGGCAAGCACAACCTAGAGCAGAGCCCTGACCAAATTTCAGATGCATAAGTAAACCAGCCATCTACTGACACTCGAACAAACCCATCCAACATAAGCTAAACTCAACCTAGATCAGCCTAAGACCCTGCTCTCACATAGGCAAGTTAGGAAAAAAAAAAAAAAAAAAAAAAACAGTGTAGTTGATATAAAGTAACCCATGAAATGGAATAATCATAATCCATAATCATTCCATATTATACTGTTACAGAAATATATAATATGTTATTTATCTCAATTTTTATTTCTTCAGAATGATATTTTGTTCTAAATAGAAAATATGAATATATACAATTATGCTAATGTATGGAGGTGATATATCATAATTGTTTGTGATCCTGTATCAAAATAAAGTCATTCATGTCAAGTAGCAGTGAGCCCACACTGAAGTTCTTCACCCCTTCTTCAAAATGAAAAACATTTGTGTAATGGACTGAGGTGATAACACCCACTTTTTCCTGGTACCATAGGAGGCCTGAAACACACCATAGAAAATGAAGAGTGGCTGAGATAATGTGCATAGACCAACCTGCAGAAGATACAAAAACAGCCAAATCCTGGCCTTGTCTGAGATACCTATGGAGACTCTGCCCATAAGAACTCTGAGGCAGGCCGCGCGCGGTGGCTCACGCCTGTAATCCCAGCACTTTGGGAGGCCGAGGCGGGCGGATCACGAGGTCAGGAGATCGAGACCATCCTGGCTAACACAGTGAAACCCCGTCTCTACTAAAAAACACAAAAAAATTAGCCGGGCGTGGTGGCGGGCGCCTGTAGTCCCAGCTGCGCGGGAGGCTGAGGCAGGAGAATGGCGTGAACCCGGGAGGCGGAGCTTGCAGTGAGCCGAGATCGCGCCACTGCACTCCAGCCTGGGCGACAGAGCGAGACTCCGTCTCAAAAAAAAAAAGAACTCTGAGGCATTTTTCCAACCTCAGCAGCTGTTACCAAAGACTCTGCAGGAGAGAAGCAGTGACCAACTCACTGACCTGCATTCAAAGGACTTCAGGACCCACTGGACTAGTCTGTTGGCGTGCTGTGGTTTGTTAGCCTCCTTTTACTATCACTGTGGTTTGTTAGCCTCCTTTTGCTACTGCCTCTAAACTATACTGTGGTTTGTTAGCCTTCTTTTACTGCTGCTTCTGTGCTGAATATTAATTGCATGATTGTGGTGTGTGAAGGCCTCACAATTAACTATAAATTCCAGCATAAATAATTGACTATTGACCCATCATAAAACCTTACAGCTTAGGTGGGAACTTTTACAGCTTGGCAGTGAGAACCCAATTAACATAACAATCAGTGTAGCTTACAACAGGAAAAGCCTAAAAAGCTATAATAAGACAGACTTTGAAAATATCTAATGATATGCATTAAGTACAGACAATTATAACCCAGAAAACATGCAACTTAGTGGAAAATATAAAGTAATAATAATAATTTCACTCTTTTTTCTGACGTAACTGACATTGAAACTTAAATAGTAAGAATAAAGGTACAATGAAAAATCATTCACGTTGTTAAGATGTGTAGAACATGTTGAAAATTGTGAAATGTCCAACAGCATTCCATGGATAAAATTGAAAGAAGATGCTAGAAGTTGGAAAGCATACTTCTTTTCTGAATATGTGGAATAGTACTGAGAGTAGTAGATCTTTTAATACGCTTCACTTTTATGCCGTATTTCCCAACAGATGATCACTAGAGTCTTCCCTTGAATCTGAAACATTTCCTTAAACTTGAGATTCAAATAATCTCCTCTTTGCTGATAATTCCACTTGAATGTCTAACAGGCAGTTCAAACTTTACATAAATATCACCCTTCCCTGGTCATCCTGTCTAAAATGTAAAATCTCACTTTCTAGTTACTATTGTAATAGACCATCCCAAAACATGGTGGAATATAAAACTGTCATTTTGTTAAGCTCACAAATTCCTTGGATCAAGAATTAGGAAAGACCAAGAATAGAATAGTTTATCTATGGCTGTGGGGACTTGAAGGCAAGAAGACGAAACTATCTGGCCATATCTTCAATCACATATTTGGCTTTCAACTGGATCCTCAGAAGGGATTTTCAATCAGATGATCTACACATGCCCTGGGCTTACTCACCAAATAGAAATTGTAGGATAATTGGAATTTTTAGATGGGGGCACAGAGCTCCAAAAGCTAGTGTACTAATGAGCAAAGTGAAGTGTTTATTGTGAACCTACCTGCAAAGCCACATATTGTCAGTTCAACTGCATTCTTTTGAATAAAACAGTTTTAAGTCCACCAAGGTTCAAGAGAATGTCACCTAGATACTACTTTTAATGGCAAGGTGGTAACATCATCACATGTAAGATAGATAACCTAGTTGTCACTGTCTTTGAAGGTAACATCTATGAGAACCACGTACTCTTTCTGCTTCATTTGCTCCTCATCACTTACCCCAACATTCAGTATGTTTTATCTTTTTATTTACTGTACGTCTTCTCAATAGAATGTAAGTGTTGTTTTTTGTTTGTTTGTTTGTTTCAATTGATTTTTCACAGCACATAGAAGATATCCTGGAAGAATTCATAGTTTGACAAGGTTTTGTTGGTTGGATAAATAAATGAGAGTTGAGGCAGGTCACTGTCCAGAAACAGAAAGTTTATTTTACCTTTGACTACGCACAAGTCAGCTTCTTCACTAGCTCCCTTAGATTGCTGAACAACTGAACGGCACTCAAAATTAATATCATCTGGCCCTTAAATTGATGTTCATTGATATGTTTAAAGAGATACCTCCTACACAATTTGGTGAAAACAAAAAAACTAAGTAGCTATGACTCCACAAACAAAGATGAAGAAACAAGAAAAAATAACAAAAAAAGCATATATAAAAATTCCAATATACAAAAATGGAAGTTAATAAGTGGTTTTAACAGAAATAAAAGTATATTTTAATAAAATATTTCAAGAAATTATAAAATATTATAGTCAATAAATGCTATTGATCCTTGATGAAATACAAAGTATGATGACAATAAAGAAGAAATTGTAATTGAGTATGTTATACATGGAGCTATAAGAATAGAAGAAAAATTACAAATGAGGCTACTATAAATAAAAACAGAAAAAATGACATTGGATGAATTAAAAGGCTGAATGAGTCTATAAAATAAATTTCAAAAAAGGACTTTGTATTCAGAAGAGAAAATTTAAAAAATTAAAGAGAAATAATAAGTATTTAGGATAGAACACAGATAATTAATTTGTCCTACTTAAGTTAGATAAAATAAAATTTTTCTTAAAAGAAACACTGGACAGATTTAAAGACATAAGTAAACCCTGAAGGACTGGGTCAGCTATGTAGGATGTAGAAGTAATAGCTGCTTGTGAAAGTTAGGAATGGGAAGAAGTAATGTCAACATGGCTCATTTTGTCCTCACTCCCAAGCCATGTATTCCAACATATTTTTAATCAGACTAAAGGATACCATTTTGATCTTAATCTGTGTTCTGTCTCTATCTAGCACTCAGCTGTTCCAAAACTTGAACAGAGACAGGGAAGTGTTATGCTATATCCTTGCCGTTCATAACTATCTGGGCTCTGAGATCAGGAATCTTGAGAAACAGAGGTTTAAAATTAGTGATCAAATTAACTTCACTGTTATTTAACAGGGTCACGTGTTAAGTCTTAATTCCCACCATATGGGCTTTAAAAGTTTTTGACGCAGATCTGTCCAATGTGCAGTAGTTTGTCCTCAGGCGAGAGGTGGGTAATTTTAATGTAGGAGAGGAACTCCTTACACACAGGCAGAGCTTCTACTGCAGAGCTTTGGAAACACATATGGGCTTCTCTAGCTTTAGCAGATGTAAATTCTGCCTTATTTTATCATCCTTTCTTTATACAGGCATTTTAGATATTACATTAGAATGTTATTTGCTGTTTTTACTATATTTCTTAGCAATGTTTATATGAGTCTTGGCCTTTAAATTGCAAAGATTTTTGTTTTCTACGCATGACAAGTGAGAATATGTCGTTAAATATTTAGAATAAGACCTAAGTTGACAGTACTTGATCAGGTGATCCAAGTTTAAACTCCCACCCCTACCCATTACTACCATTTGTAGCTAAATGTTTAATTTATGGGAAGGACTCAAAATTTGAAAATCTAAACTGTAGATTTTCCTTTGGAAGGTGGTATATTTTATTAAGACAAAACGTATATTAGAAAGCAGAAACAGCATTATAATGTTGCAATCAAGTAGAGAAACAACAACATCTATAAAATTATTTCAAGTATAAAGAAGCTCATCATTAATACTGTTTTTCTTAAAACTAAGTTTCTTCAGGAAAATAAAGAAAAATAGAACTGTTGAAAGAATTAAAAGTAAAAATAAAACTTGTTAGCCTTACAGTCAGAACATGTGGGTAAATAAATATGAAAAGAGCGAATAGTTAAGCTGGCTTAAGAAAGAGATTTAATTGATAGAAAAATTAAACTTTTATAGGAGAGTCTGGGTAAATTTAACCAGTAAGTAAAAACTTAAAGTCCAATCTCAACATATATAAAGGAATCTGTATAAACTATATTTGAAACCTGGATGTATGTGCTCTTCAAAAAGTTATTAGATAAGTTTTAGATATCATAAATATTATCAGACCAGAAATGGTGTATGGAACTCACAGATATCTAAGAAGACAAGAGGTGGGATCTCAAAAATCATGCTCTGATTTCCCTAAAGGATCAGAAGATCTCAGAATTTATGGAGCAGTATCTCCTCAAATCAGAAAGTAAAGGATGCACACAAAGAGGAATCTGGAAAACCTCCCCTTTATCACTGGATGGCTATATAAACGTTCTTACCAAAAATCTGAGAAGACATTCAGGGAGATCAGCTTCGTCTACTTCAAGCATTATTAGGTGGTCTTCAAAGTCTTAGGTGCATTGAAGAAATATTTTTTAACGTATTATTGAAATGGTATTTGAATGGAATATTTTGTAAAAATAAAGCACAAAAAAAGCAGATAGATAGGAGAAATATAGAAGAAGTCCAAAATTGATTTGGAAGTTGATCATATAGGGTCAGATGTCTAAATCAGAAAATGGATTGGTGGCAGATTTCTTGGAATAGTGTGTAATTTTGACAAAGCCACCTTTCAATGTAATCTCCTGCTAAAGTTGTCACCTTTATCTCTCAGTCTCTTTTCTTCACATTGATCGTAAAGCTTTTGCACATTTCTTCTTTTAGAAGCTCGTCTTCCTGATTTATGCATGAATTCCTCGTTTTTGTCATTTATTCACAAATAAAGATTACCTCGTGTAGAAGCTGTTTCCTTTCCACTTGCTAGAAGTTATTTTGCCAATCACATATGATTATTTTATCATTTTTTAATTACCATCAGTGCATGAAATTATCTTTATTATTCACTTGTTTTTATTATAATCTTATAATTTCAAATAAAATGTAAATCTACTGTCCCTTGCTTTACCTCCGTGTCTTCAGTGCCTAGAACAGGACTGTCATACACAGTGACTCAATACACATTTACTTATGGGTGATTCCCTGCCTGACTGTTACAGGAAGAAGGACCAGGAATATCAGAATCTGAAGTGTCCTCTAAAGTCATAAAGACTAGAAGGCATTGAATAATGTTTCTTAACTATGCAAGGACTTCAGAATTAGATCTCACATAGATATATACAACTGTGTGTAGATTCGAAAAACAGAATTAAATGGGTAAAACTTTTAGGAAAATGTACATTTTTGAGTTAATAAATGTATATAAAATAATTATTAATGACTTAAAAATATGATCACAGTGTTAAATGTGTCTTTTGTAAATTATACAAATATGAGTTTTATTTATTAAAGCATTTCAAATGTTCAAGAGTTACGTATGTTTTGTCATTTAAAGTGACCCACATGGGAAAAAATAACTACAAATTCTAATTTTCTAAAATCAAAATAGTATATTAATGACATATCTCGCCAAATATGTAAGTATTAAGAAGAGAGAATAAATTATTTAAAAACATTTGATCATTTCAACATTCATTACTAATATACAAAAATCAAACCCAACCCTTACAATAATTACTATAGAATTTAAAGAATATTCAAATACTTGAACAAATAATTGGCAAGAGGTATCCACACATATGTGAAGGAATACAATTTGACAAATATAAAAATATACTGTGATGTGTTAAAACAGTCTATAATATTTTAATATATTTATTTTATAATATAAAATATTTATAGTTGTAATGTATTTATAAATAAATAATATTTGCTTATAAATTATCTTAAAAATGCTGTTTCTTGAAAATATAAACAGCAAATATAAGACAATCTGGATATTTTCCAATAGCAGGATTTTCACTTGGAAAACAAAGTCTTTAAGCTTATGAGGAAAAATATTGAAAGAATATTTCAAATTTATTTTAAACTAAAAAATGATAACGTGTGGCTTATAGATATATTTAACAAATAAAGACAAAAATAATGTAGTTTGGGGGAGAGAAAGAGCAGGATATATTTGCTTGAACCATAAAAGTTACCATCTTTTGGTTAGAGCATTAATTAAAGAATGTAAGAAGACAGAGGATGAAAAATGGAAATTATTTTAGCATAAATAAAAAGAGGGATAGAGAGACTTAGAATTAGTTAAAATAATATGTTTTTAAGGCTATACTTTTTCTTATATGTTCAACTTTAACATTTGAAAATTTGATGATTTTCTTATATTATCATGACAAGTTATGGCCTCTTCAGTTGCTAACATTTTTATACTGTGTCTTTCTCTATGCCAGAAAATAATAATGTTACCATATATTGTGTGATTTATAATATTTATCTTCTATCAATGAATAAAATTATGAATTTAAGTTCTGAGATCTATTCATTGCTATTGAGTGGTTACATTGTACCAAGAAAATTTCCTAGGCTACTGAAATATA
This sequence comes from Homo sapiens, assembly GCF_000001405.40. NCBI lineage: Eukaryota > Metazoa > Chordata > Mammalia > Primates > Hominidae > Homo > Homo sapiens. The sequence goes on from NC_000005.10 coordinate 25,322,422, forward strand.
TATATATATTATGGACAAAGTGACCATGAATAAGTGAGCATAATAAGCTTGCAAATAGCAAGGTGTAAGGAAATAATCAGTGTTTTGTCAAGTATATGTGTTAAAATAGTGTAGTTGGAGGTAATGGTATTGACAAAAATTTATCAAACGTAAAAGTAATAAAAATAGTGAAAGATGAAAGATGCAATGTGTTAAAATACTCAATGGCTTTCAAATAAGAAATGGGACAGCAGTTGAATTTAGAAAAATGTAAGAAAAGATTCAGCAACTGAAATAGAGATTTGAGGTAATTATAAAGTAGAAATAGTAAGTGTGATGGTTTAAGTAGCATGAAAACACTAAACTGTAAACCAGAGTAGATATGAAATGAGAAATACATATATGATGATTTCAGCATTTAAAACTCTGTTTTATGCATCTCAAAAACTATATAGATGATAGCTAGACTATATATGTAGATATATATATCTATATAGTGTGTATATACATGTATGTATCTGTATCTATATCCATATCTATGTAGATAAACATTTTTTTGAGAGAGGGTCTTACTCTATTGCCAAGTGTGGAATGAAGTGGTGCAAACAGTCCACATCAGCCTCCACCTCAAAAACTCAAGCAGTTCTCCCACATCAGCTTTCCTAGGGCTTCTGCAGGTACGACAGACATGCACCTGGCTATTTTTTTACTTTTGTGTTTTTACTTTTTGTAGAGACAGAGTTTCCCTATGTTGCTCAGGCTGGTCTCGAACTCCAGGCGTCAAGTTATCCTCCCACTTCAGCCTCCCAAAGTGCTGGGATACCACCATGCCTGGCCCAAAAAATACTTTACAGATTAACTCATTTGTTCTGTGAATGAACATCAATACAGTACTTTCACAAATATAAAGTTTTTATCTATAAATCCTTTCCTGCTGTTCAACTAGACAGTTAAATCAAAACATTTACAGTATGAAAAGACAATAAGTATTTTCCCCTGGTCCAAGACATTTTCTCCATTCTGCCATACAGACAAAAAAGTAGTATGGTATTATACATTCTCAAATTATTACTCCCTCATTATCTCTCTCTCTTTCTTTCTCATATTTACCTATGCATACATAATTAAACAAGTATGCACATTTTCAAGTGACTTTTAAAATTGCAGTTCTTCATGAATGCTTTCCTTGACATGCATGCAAGATCAAATTCTTGTTTTATATCTCATAGCACCTTCTAATTCTCTTTTGGGGACTTCATACAATTTAAAGTAAGTAAATATTTTGGGAGATGTTTTTAATTTTATGTTGCTACCCAAGGTTAGAATGAGTACACTTTATCATAGCTATAACTCTCACTTCATAGCAGTCTCTATTGAAAACTAGAACTCAATAAAATACATTTTGAATGAATAAATATATTTAAACCCACATACTTTATTCTCCTAGATTTAGAACTGGAGATGATAATACCTCTGCAATGTATAAAACATAAAATGTCTCGTTATCTTTTTTATCATATTCACTCTCATCCTTATTGTTAATTTTTAGCTTTCCGGAACTGATTTTCTATCTCAGTGCTAACTACTGTGATTCCAGGACTTTACTTAGATTTGCAGCTGCAAGCCCATATAACTGTTGCAAATCTCAGGAAGAAGAAAAATGTTTCCTTTTCTCTGCAGTTCCATAGAATAATCCATATTATAGAACTACTACTATAACTTTAAAGGTTAAATGTTACCTTGTAAGAGAAATAAAATTTTGATTGGCTATTTAATAATTGTGGCCCTTAAAATAACATTTAATTTTCTATTTTATGATAGTAATAAATGTAAGTTTCATTTGTCAAACCGTAAGTCCATTGGCCATTATTATGTTTTTCTTTCTACATGCATCACACTTGCAGCGTAAGCGACAATAATAAACATGAAAACGATGGCAATGAAAATAAAATGTCTATTAAATGTATTTGATTTAATATTTGGAAATATTTGATTTTCAATATCTCATTTAAATTGACATTACCTTCTAGCTTTCGTGTAAGGATTGGCTATAAATAAATCATTAAGCAACCATCAGAGTGACAAACTATGAATTAAATGCTCAGTTAAATCAGTCAATGTGACATAATGAAAAGTACTTCATTAGGTGGAGAGGTCATTAGCATCTGGGGCAATTATTACATCTGATTTTACATCTGATTTTGCTGGATAGCAAAATACATAGTGTCACAGTGAAATGACAACTCTAATGTGATTTTTTTCATGAATAATTTCTCTCCAGAACAGAGGCAAAATTAATGTTGAATTTTTAAATAATTACTTTAAACTAATTAAAGATAGAAAAATCAATGAAAGGAAGTCTTCAAGATATGAAAGAAAATAACGATTAATCATTGGCTAAATTGTTTCGGAGTAAACAATTTCCCTGAGTACAAATTGAACCTCATATTCCCAGTTCGTTTCCAGTACAGAGTCAAAGTGTCATATTATATTAAGCGAATAATAAGACTCCACAGCTCATTAAAGCATAAATTCATTTCTTTGCTTCTCTAGTGGTGTATATGTGTTTGCATTTTTGCCCTGAGGACAGATACTAACATGAACATTTATCTGTAATTAAAGATTCACCGACCATTAGCAGTATAGCACTTTCACTACCAGTTAAGGCAAATGAATAAAGCTGTTTCAAAAATTATATCCTATCCCATGTGAAAGTTATCCACATTTTCTCCAGGTTTCCTCCAGGAGAATACCTTCCTACAATAGTTTTCTCTAAAGCTAAGACAGAAATGTTTGATAATCCACCATCTGTTATTTTTTCTCAATAATAATTAGAATTTTTTTGTGTGTGTTTCTGTGCTCTGTAAGGACTTTTAAAATTGATCAGAGAAAATAAGAGCTAACCCTAAGTTTGCCTGTTTGTATACTGAAGGGTATGTGCTAGAACAGATAAAGATGAAGATCAGGAAGCTGAAGGGACAGATGCAAGGCTGCACAGCTACTCATCAAATCTGGAATGGAAATACTTTATTGATATAAAACTGAATATCTACAAAAAATTTTCCCAGTAATGAAAGATTACAATGTGCCTTGATTATACTTTACTAGTGATCTTAAGATGCCAATGAGTGACTGCCAAAAACAGTGCTTTACGTCAAACATCTGAGTAAAATTATCTTCTCTAGATTCAACCACCCAGTAATGGTCTATTGAGAAAAAAAAATCTGTGTTCTAAATTTTGGAATAAATTACCTATTTATTCTACAGTCGTTCAACTAGTTAATATGTATTGAAAATTTTGCATTGAGTATAGCAAAGTGGGTAAGAACAAAGAATATGAAGCTAATTTACATGGGTTCAAGTTCTTTTTCTGTCATTTTTCCGTGTGAACTTAAGCAAGCTGTTATTTAAGCTCTCTCTTTCTTGATTCTTCTCTACAATGTGGGGTGTGACAACTGCTGGAACTCATCACTACCCATTTTTTCCTTTTGTTCGTGAGTATAGAGTCTACTTATATTCCTCATCCCATATACGTTCACAACAATCCAGGAAATAGTCCCTGCAAGTGAAAGGTAAACATAAGTAGTTAAAACACTTCGAAGCCTGGCCCATAAAAATCTATCTATGCATAATTGTGTTCTTCTTCCCCATCAATATGTAATAAAATGGAAAGAACTCTGAGGATATGCAAGGCCAAGTCTACAGGATGGAAGATGGCAATGAGCCTGCATGACTGTGTAGGGAAGAAACTTTCTGGCACCAGGTGGAACCCACAATGATGTAAAAAACCAATATATTTTCCTTATGTAAAGCTACAAAGTTTTAAGATTTCAATTGGTTTGTAATATAATTATCCATCTCTGCACCAAAAAAAAATGAGGTTGTAAATGTCTTTATGTCATAGAGTTAAGTGGGGATTAGTGGGTTAATAGATGTAACACCAGGAACAGAGCCTGACATTAGTTAAGGTCAAACACATATCTTCTATTTAATTGATTAGAATAACTGTGGCGAAATGAGTAGGATTCTCCAAACATTCACGGGCTGCTCCACGTTGCCGAGCTTCCCTTGCTGTCGACTTGGGGACTCTAGTTGAATTTGGACCAATGAGATGTGAGCAGAGCTAAAGGCAGACACCACCATGCCTGCCTTGAAATGTATCTGTGTGCACACCTCCTGTCATTCTTGCCCTGTTGTGGGACCTGGGAAAGCAAATGATGAAGACGATGTTATCGAAAACACAAAGAGTCCAGAGCCCTAAGTTACTACTGGAAACAACACTGGCCTCTGAAAATAAACCTTTATACCAGAAAGCCACTGAGATTTTGGTGTTCACTTGGACCACACCAAAGCCTGTCCATCCCTAACAGTGATGATGATGATCAAGTCTGTCATGGATGTAGTAACATATGTAGTAGTTTCTGTATTCTTGGAAAATTTATAGTCTACTTAGGGAAATAAATTGTATGTACTTTAACTATAGGGAAGGTGTAAGAATATGCATAATAACTACATTATTATTTCTAGAAAGAATGAACTTTTTCAATTATCCATGTCAGTTCAAAGTGTGACATTAAAGAACAAAAGGGTTTCTATTTGGTGATTGTTAAGGATATGTACTTACGTTAATTCTACAGGTACTAAATATATATTTTATTTTAGTTTTTTTATTACTATTTTTCTACTGGGAAAATAATTTACTATATATCAAAATATACACTGTATATAAAAATCATGTTTCCTAGTATAAAATCAAAAATCATCTTTCTGAAAAAAAATGTATTAAACAAAATTATGTGATCCCATTGTTTTGAACTGTGTGCCTGCCTGGGCTCCAGTGGACCAAACCAAACCAAAATGGATTCACTCATGCTAAGTGTCACGTAATCTAACTGAAAAATTAGGGAAGCAGATAGATTCTAAAACAGAAACAGTTTTTCCTGAAAATAGGAGATTCTACTCTAGCTGAGTCAGCGTAATGAGAAAGTTCCCCTTTGTTTCAATCCTTACAAGAAAAATAACCTGAAGTGACCTGATATTAATCAATCAACTTTTTTCCCATTGTTCCCACTTTGCAAAACCCACTGTTCTGCCTTTGCCCAGAGGGAAATCTCATTCTCTTTTGTAGAATGGAGGCTACCTTGATTCATGAAGCATGAATAAAAGCCAATTAAATCTGTAACTAAATTTGTCATAATTTTATCTTTTAATACTTAAATATATCTGTTTGAAATTTTTTCTGTCAGTTTTAAATAAAATGGCTTTTGAAAATCCGGGCCTTTGGGGATCCTGTTAACTCCGTTAAGGTGAACTCCCTTTTGATTTGGGGACTACACGTTCTTACAGCCCTTTCCTGATGTGCAAGAGATGATTCGGTTTTTGTCTACTTTTGTTTTGTGTTAAGCATGCTCTAATAGATTTGTTCTTCAAATAGGCAATCTAGAAATACAAAATTCTAGAACAAATAAATATAATTAATAAATAATATATTCTTTAAAAAATTTAAACCTTTCTTCTACTACCAATGTGTGACCTTTTACCAGCCATTTCAAAGAAACAGTCTCAGATTTGATTCTCCTTTAGAATATTATAGTTATGAATGGCATGATGTCTCACCAGAGTTAGAAATTTTATTCTTTTGATTGATTTTTAACAGTGGGAAATAGCTTTAGAAATGTGAATGATTCCTATTTTCAACCTTGTATTGAGGAAAGCATGACCCTCCAGAGTAAAAAATAGATATGCTGGTATCTCTTTCATTCTCTCATGTCATATACAAAATTTTAGATACCGTTTCTATTATGGCATTCTTTATAACATTCAACAGTCTTAATTTTTAAACTGTTTAAAATGTTAAACAGTTTAACATTTCAATAGTATTATCCTATACGTTCAAATGACTATATTTTTATTTATTTCTTTTTCATATACTATGTAGTTATGAGTCACTCCTCTGTTTAGGTAAGAATCCTCTGTTTAGGGTAGCAAAAACAAAAAGCATAATCTCAGGATAGGGGGTCGCATTTAGGGTTAGATAGAAACTAATGTAAAAAATTATTCTTTATGAAGTTTATATGAGATAAATTAACAAACAGAAAGCAGAGCAAAGATAAAGGAACTCTGGAAACTTTTGGTAAAAGTAAAATACATCCGTAAAAGTCATTTTTAGCTTTTTTTCCCTTTCCTTTAAATTCAGAAGAGTCAAATGTTGTGAGAAGTTCAGTGATATTTACATGTGGCAGGCTTACAAATTCAAAGGGGCAGAGTCAGTGCGTTTGGAGGTTTAAAAGAAAAGCTTTGGTTTCAGATGCCTGATCAAAAAATTATGTCGAATCCCATGTACTCACTGTGATAAGTGTAGAGTACTTTTTAATTTCTTTACATCATTAAATTTCTTAAATAAATCACACATATAATTAACTGTTTCTGTAACAGATTTCTGGAATTGGTGTGTGTTACATTTGAAGCCATGTCCGTTCTTGCAGATATCATAGAATCATATTCAGACTCATGTGTTGCCTTGAGACTGGCCACACACAAATGCCTCTACAATACAGCTTTTTTCAATTCACATGTTACTCAATGTATATCCATTTTCCTAAAATATATAATTGGTTTTGAAAAAATACCCCAATTTCAAAGATAATATAAGCATAAAATATGAAAATGAAATCACCTACAACGTATTTCATGTTTCTTTCTTGCGTGAGTGGTGCAAACTTTCCCCCCTCAGATTATACAATGAATAACCCGCTGTTTTCTATTTTCTATTATGTATTCTTTTTGTTTGTTTTGGGTGGTAAGGAGAATAAGGGACAAGGAGATTTGCCACAATGAATTTCAAATATGTCCATCTGTAGATTATTTCACTGGACTCCTGAAGATGCCCCAGTGATTTTGACGGCAGAGGTGACCAAATTTCTTTGTCAGTAGTGTTTTTGACTATAACTACTCTAGGACATTTTGACATTCACAGAAAATTGTTGTCTTGTTTTGATCCTCCTCAAAAGATGGATTATAGTACTCCATTGCATGCTTCTGATAACTTTGGAAATTGTGAAAAAGTATTGACTGGGTGGACTGAACTAGTGGAAGACAGAAGTAATCTTTTTTGACTTTTGACTTTTTGTTTGGAACATTGCTGATCCTTTGTTTTGTTTTTCAGAGTCAGAGAACCTTTTTTTTTTGAGCCATTTACAGCTTTTGTCAATTGTGAGGTGAACCAACCAGTGACCCCTGACTGCAGCTCAGAAGAAACAAAAGGGATGGGCCATCAAAATCCAAGCAGTCATAAAACTGGAGTCTCGGACAATGACTCCCTTTTTACTGGGTACCCTGAGAGGAGCTCTGACTGCTGTTTTCCCCAAAAACAACGCCCTTTGTCAGCATGAAGCAGTTAAGAGTTGTAATTGTCCTTATTCTAATGGCAGTTAGATGTACCTCTTGAGAGAGGGGCTTGATGGCAGTGGCAGCTGGTCTGAAGTGGTCACTGGCATGACACCAGCTGCAGTGGGTTACAGGCACAGGCTGTGGGTCCTCAGGTACAGATGTTGAGGGAGGCAGTTCCTGGATCCTGCCCCTGGGAGCCGCCCTGAAACCCACCACCCTGGGAACCTGCCCCTGAGAGCTGCTACAATGGTGCCAGGCCAAGCCGCCTGCCAGCAAAAGAGCAGGATGGTCAGGCATGGAGGAGTAGGCAGAGAGGGGCCCCAAAGTGGAGCTGGCCTGGGGCAGAGCCGGGCTTGCAAATGCAGCATGGGGACTGGGCCCAAGATGCAGATCTGGGCCCATGCTTCAGAGGCCCATGGCAGGAAGTAGCAGTGGTGCCTGCTTTGAGGACCCAGCCAGTGATGCTGCCACTGCACCCACCCCACCAGCTGAGCCACATTCCTGCACCTCGGGGAAAGGCTCTGTGTGGGGTTGCTCGAGGTTGCACACCCAGGACCCACCCTGCATCCACGTGACCACCGAGCTTGATGTTCCCAACAGTCAGGGCAGGGCCCAAGATCCATTCCTGGAGATGTCCCCTAGGAAGGGCCATGAGCCAGGTGAAGCAGAACCCCAGGCAGCCCCTGAATGCCAGGGCCACAGGAAAAACTCACGGTGAAGTCACCCCTGCCCTGGACACTGGCCAAGGCCCAGCAAGGACCTGGAGTCCCTGCTGCAGGCTTCAAGGATGCACATCTGGGGCTGCAAGTTTCACAGAGCCAGTGGCTGCCAGGGACAAGCAGGAACCCCTCCCCTTCCAAGTTGGTGGGGAAGGAGCTCCCTGGTGCAGCTGCAGCCACCCGGGAGTGGTTGTGGATCCAGGCATCTCTGTACTCTCAGGGGCCTGGGAAGGCCACCTCCTGCCCCCACGGACTCAGAAGTGCCTGCTCCAGCTGCCTGGCTTTTCCCTGTTGTTGATGCCCACTCCATTCTCAGAACAAAGTTGGAGAAAAACCCAGGCACTGTTGCAACCTGACTGGGTATGAGCACACCCAGGGCATAACTGACATGCCAGGCTCCTGCTGCCTCAGTGCCTCTGGACTTTAGGCATTGATAGGAACAGGAGGGAGACAGATTGGGGGGCCGAGGACAGCCTGGTGCTGGCCTGCAGGTGACCCTTGGTATTAACAGCCTGGGCATCATGAACATCAGCAGGAGGCAGATAGGCACCTGGGTGGAAGGGGGTGGGACCCCGGAAAAGCCCCACCTTCAAGTCAGGGAGGGCCTGATGCATGGAGACCAGGTTGCCAGTCCTGTGGCCTGGAATGGGGACTCATGGTGCCTTTCTTGGCCTGCCCATGGCTGCCCATGGACCAACTGGTGAACACTTCCTCCCCACTGAGACTCATAAAAGCCCAGGACTCAGCCAGACTCAAGGAGATGGGACAATCAACTGCAGAGAGGAGCTGCCCACCCCAGGGTCTCCTCTCTCCTGACAGCAGAGAAGACAATGGGATGACCAGCTGCAGAAAGGAACTACCCTCTCTGCTGAGAGCCTAACACTCATTGGGACCACCTGGTTGTGGAGAGGAGCTGCTTACTGCAGATCTCCTCTGAGAGGAGCTCAATAAAGTTCCTCTTCATCTTACACACCCTCCACTTGTCTGTGTACCTCATTCTTCCTAGATGCAAGACAATAACTGGGGACCTGCCAAATGGTGGGACTAAAAGAGCTGTAACACAGACAGGGCTGAAACACGCTCCTTGCATGCCATATTGCAGGCCACAGAAGGAGAGAAGAGAGAAGAGCTGCAGCCTATCAGGGAGCCTAGACCTAGGAGGTCCCTGAGCCAGGGCTGTGACATGCTCTTTAGGGCTCTGTGGTTCCTGGCATCTCTAAGCTTCTGAGTGCTACACCACATTCCCCAGTGCCAGCCATGGAAGCTGCTAACAGTATGCACAGTCCAGCTCCAGACTTGTAGTGAGCTGGCACCCATGTTGGTGCCTGGAGCTGCCCACCCCATCGCAACCTGTGTGCAGTGGCCAGACCCCACGCTCAGTCACACATCCCTGTCCACTCCATGCCTGGCTTGCCCTTGGCAGGTATGGGATTCAGACCAGTAGCAGAAGCTGAATGCAGCCTGCCAGGCCAAGTGGGTGGAACAAACCCAGCAGGCTAGAGCAAAACTCGGCAAATGCACCACTGGCCACAGAGATTTCTGGCTGGTGAAGCAACTCCCCGAGCATTAATAGTTTCACACTGTATATTTGTAGGTGCTGGTTTTTGTGTCTTCCCCTTAAACAGATTACACGTTAATTTAAATTCTGTGAAAGCAAGTAGTTCTATTTTACCTCTATTTATCTATATCTATATACATAGATAGACACATGGATACCTATAAGGGCCTGATTCACAGTAGACATTTGATAAATGTATATTTTTAGTTCATGTATAAGAATTTGGGATAAATGATGATGAAAATGCAGTGTTAATTCATTGTTTTTAATGAGTTTTAGAGGTATTTTATCTGCATGTCTCATAGCCAAATGACAAGGCATGTATATTCTGTCTTTGTAACTTGTAAATTAGGGAAATTACACTACCTACTGCATAGTAATGTTGAGAAGAGTGATGAACACACACACACACACACACACACACATCTAGTTTTAAACAGTTCCTGAGACATAAGTGATACATAAATATAACTTACTAAATGAGTTGTTTTATTTTAAAGCTATAATTATTTATCTTGAGCACCAGTCCTGCACAGACAATAGAATGTACTCTGTTCAAATGCAGTTATTTTCATATTGCTGCTGATAATTTAATTTCCTCTACTAGAAAGCTAAACAGAATAATGGAGAAACTAAAAAATGCTTTTCTCTTTTGGTCCTTTTTCTCTAGCATAGAGGAAGCTTGGACCTTAAACTGAGTATTTAATGTAAATATTGAAAGTCAAAGATGCCCTTGACCCCTCCCACCAAAATTCACCCCTAAATAAAGACTTATTGAAAGAAACTTGTGGCAATATATTTTATATTGCATTTATTAATGAACATATAATTACGTTTAAGATCTCCTTTGAACTTCATGTTGAAAGAAAGAACTTTTGTATTATCAAGGGTTTTGGTATTGTTAACACACTTCCACCAATTCTTTTTCACATTAACTCATATGGGTTTTATAGTGAAACCTACACTTTTGGCATAATCAGTACTCTCAGGGAGATTAGTGAAGAAAGAAAAACATCAACATCAACTTTCCACAAGACTGTTTTTCAATTCTATTCCAAACTTACATATTTTCATTTAACACCAATAAAATAGACAAGTTATACTCAAAAACTTTTCAAAAGGTTGTTGAATTTTTATTCCCAAAGCCACAAAAATAGTCTAATTGATTTAAGAATAATGAAACCTTTTAAACAAAATTAATTCCTACACTTTTATATTAATATATTTTAATGAAACTCACAGAATCAGATTATACAATTTAATCTAATAACAGGATTACTATATAATAATAAAAATATTGTTTCACATATTTCCCTTCTGTATAATATTGAACACTATAATATTTAACTTTAGTAAGAAGTAATATTATTGTAGGGATCCTAAATATGTATTCAGAACCTTTATTTTAACATTTTGTTTGTATATGAAAATAATTGATAGTCCACTTCCTTAATACCCACTCCAGTCAAAGGGCTTTCACATATATGCAAAGATTTCTAAGCAATCAATTGCAGTTTGATGATTGAATAGAACAATATCCATTTAAAAATACAATTTTAAGGAAATCAGTGCATAAAAATGATACCTGCAACCCTCATGTTTCTTGCAGCTCTATTCACAGTAGCCTAGGTGTGGAATCAACCTAAATGTCCATCGATGGATTAATGAATTTTTAAAATGTGGTATAAAATAAGGAGTACCATTCAGCCATAAAAAACGATGAAATTCTGTTATATGCAGCAACATGGCTGGAACTAGAGGCTATTATGCTAAGTGAAATAAGCAAGGCATAGAAGGACAAAATTTGCATATTCTCACTGATATCTGGGACCTAAAAAAATTAATCTGGATGTAGAGAGTAGTACGATGATAGTTACCAGAGGCTGGGAAGGATGAAGGGGTGGGATGAATAGATGCTAGTTAATGGATACAAACATACCGATAGATAAGATTTAATTCTTGTGTTCAATAGCACAGTAGGGTGACTACAGTTAACAATAATATATTACATATTTCAAAGTAGCTAGAAGATTTAAAATGTTTTTGTCACAAAGGAATAATAAATGTTTGACGTAATGAATGTTCCAGTAACTCAGATTTAATTCCTACACATGGTATGCATGTATCAAAATATCACCATAACCCATAAATATGTAGAATTATGTATTAATAAAAATAAACTATTAATCAAAAGTTCCCACATATACAAAGAATAAAAAACAATTATACCACAAATGATATTTACAAGTTTATTTAACCAAAATTTTAAAACATATAAAACCCTTTCCTCCTAGAAAATTTTCCCATTAGTATAAGTTCTTCTGTTCAACTTAATAATGGATATGGTAAAAGAGAATTGAACTGAGCAGTTAAATAGATGTGACGGTTAATACTGAGTGTCAACTTAATTGGATTGAAGGATACAAAGTATTGTTCCTGGGGGTGTCTGAAAGGGTGTTGTCAAAGGAGATTAACATTCGAGTCAGTGGACTGGGAGAGGCAGAACCACCGTCAGTCTGGGTGGGAATCATTTAATCAGCTGCCAGCATGGCTAGAATAAAGCAGACAGAAGAACGGGAAGACTAGACTTGCTGAGTCTTCCAGACTTCATCTTTCTCCCACGCTGCATGCTTCCTGCCCTCGAACATCAGATTGCAAGTTCTTCTGTTTTTGGACTCTTGGACTTACAACAGTGGTGTGCCAGGGGGTCTCAGGCCTTTGGCCACAGATTGAAGGCTGCACTGTTGGCTTCCCTTCCTTGGGGACTTGGACTGATCTACCACTGCTTTCCTTGCTCCTCAACTTGCAGACAGCCTATTGTGGATATTTACCTTGTGATTGTGTGAGTCAGTTCTCCTTAATAAACTCCCTTTCATATATACATCTATACTATTAGCTCTGTCCTTCTAGAGAACCCTGACTAATACAATAGGCAACGGAGATTTTATTCAAGACCATTGCAAAAGGCAAGCAGAAGAGTTTCTGAGCATGAGTGAGTGAATGAAAAGGTACTGGAGGGCTTTGGGTTGGTGTGGGGGTGGTGTTGGTCTTTGTGATTAAGCCATCTGTGTTTGATAATTGGCCCCTATGGAAGTTAGGCCCCTGCAGTCTCACAATGACTGGAAAACAGGGGCTCTATCTTTCCTAATGATAACCTTTTAAAGGGATGGCCTGAAGGTCCATGAGAAGGACATTCCTGGGATGTGAAACTGGCAAGAGACTTTTAAAAATGCTTATATCTCAAAGAGGCAGAGAAAAAATTTACAACGTTTTCTAAAGAAAATCCTCTATAAAGATGAAATTCAGAGGCCTATAGTCCAGGTTAAAACAAACAAACAAACAAACAAAAAAACAAACAAACAAAAAACTGTCTAAATATTTAGTCAAGCTAAGGGAAACTTTCAGCCTGCCTTGCTCAATACAATGACTATTGCCATAAAACAAGACAAAGGCATGTGAGAGAGAAGGTAGAAATTAAGATGTAGATTATTATAATAAGCTGCACATATAGATGCAACCTATCAAAGGAATTGAGTAGTTTTCCCCATACCAAGCAAAATCCACACTGAAAATAAAATAAAAAATGAGGTAGAGTCAGGCTTGTAACCCCAGCACTTTGGGAGACCAAGACAGGAGGATTGGTTAAGGCCAAGAGTTTGAGACCAGCCTGGGGAATATAGGAAGTTCCCATCTCCACCAAAACTTCTAAAAATTAGCCAGGCATGGTGGTGTGTTCCTGTAGTCCTAGCCAATCACAGAGCCCAGGAGTTCCAAGTGTCAGTGAACTATGATGGCACCACTACATTCTAGCCTGGGCAACAGAAGGAGACACTGTCTCTATTTTTATTTATTTATTTATTTATTTATTTATTTATTTATTTATTTATTTATTGGAGATGGAGTCTCACTCTGTCACTCAGGCTGGAGTGCAGTGGTACAATCTTGGCTCACTGCAACTTCCGTCTCCTGGATTCAAGTGATTCTCAGCCTCCCAAGTAGCTGGGATTACAGGCATGTACCACCACGTCTAGCTCCTGTTGGTATTTTTACTAGAGATGGGGTTTCATCGTGTTGGCCAGGCTGATTTGAACTCCTGACCTCAGGTGATCCCCCCACCTAGGCCTCCAAAAGTACTGGAATTACAGGTGTGAGCCACCACACCCAGCCTATTTTTTTTTTTTTAAGACAGAAAGAATCCAAACGATAGAAAAAATAGGATATATCTGGAAATAATATATAACACATCACATAATATAAAGCATAAGTTTTTAATAGAAAAAAATAAAACTCTAGAAAGCACCTGCAAGAATACTTCATAAATAGAGAATGTGTACCATGTGTATGTAAAAGGAGACATAACAAATCAAAAAGTCAATTTTCTCTAACCTAATGAAGGTCCATCAGTAACTAAATCAATTTTATAAAACTTTATTGTTTTTAACAAATCATCATGATCTGATTTAAAAAGGAAAATCTGATATATTAGTTTTTCTAAAATTAAAAAATATTATTTGTTGCGCTTAATCCATTGGAAATTTTTGTTTATTTGTAATATAAAATAAAGGTTTTTTAAAAGTTTTTAAAAAGTTATTTTCCCAAGCAGTGTTTATTGAACCATCTCTCCTCCTCCTCACTTGGAGTGCCAAAACTGACTTTGTTATTATGTCAATAAATTTCTATATTCTCTTTAAATGCTCTATTTGTTTATCCCTGAGGCAACATCACACTTACTTATATTTTATAGCTTTAAAATAGCACTGATATCTAGTCGGGCAACTTTTGCCACACCTATTGCTTTCCCTTTCTCAGAATTTTCCTAATTTGTATTGACTCTTACTATTTCCATATGAATTTAAGAGCACTGTTATTTATTATGAAAAAATAAATTCACTCAGATCTCTGCTCAAGGGTCACCTCACCTAAGTCTGCATAGTTGTTTTACTTTTCTACATGGGTTTGACGCATGTGTGTGAGTGTGCACATGCGTGTGTGCATGTAAGACATTCCGTAGTATATTGTGTGTAGCATATGAATTTTATATTTCCTATTATATATTAACATGCCTTGTTTATTTGTCTACCTGTTTGAAAAGCTCTTTGATGGCAGAGATTTTGTCAATTTTGATTGTTGTTATGTATCCAACATAAACAACATTCCCCAGCATGCAAAAAGCTCTAAATAAATACACATTAAATGAATAATATCTATCACATCCACCCACTCTCACTCCAAATACTTATTACAGGAATACAGACTTTCAACCAAAGCTCACCTAGTATTCTCCTGATGACTGTTATTGATCCAGAAACGGCATGTGACCTAAGCTGGCCTATTCAAACTGAAAGATTTTGTTCCCTTAATAGGGGAAGTGCCTTCCTCAATCTCCCACAGGTAGAAAAGATAAAGTGTATGACCTCAGATGCTGGGATGCTGCTGATAGATTCTTTGTGACAATGAGGAAAATTACCCTGAAGATAAAGATTCAAAAGAAGGCAGGACAGAGTCACTAGCAGGAATCATAACATAGAAATAGGCCCTGAACTCAGGACCTGTATATCTTACCTTTTAGATTACAGATATTTTTAATTGAATAAGCAGATGAACTAGAGTTTAATATTGCTTGCACTTGAAAACACCTTACTGGAGTGTTTTCCTTCAAATTTTCCTTCAAAAAGAATTTGAAATGACTGATTTTTTCCTAAAAACTTTCAAAAACTGGTTAGTGGCTCTACACAAAATAAGAGAAACAGAAACACATCATCATCATCATTATCGTCATGATCATCATCACATGGCCATTGGTCATCTCAGTTCTTGAAAGTCAGCATAAGATTATAATCCAGGTTACAGGCTCCAGATCCAAATGAAGTTTCTAAGTTAAAATTTCAGCCATATTACTTGTGTGTATTCTACTTTTGAGCAAATTTCTAAGACTCATTTTCTTTGGAAATTTTTGAAACTTCAAAATGTGTTATTAGTGGTAATATAGTAAATGCTGGGAGAGAAAGGTTACAGGCTATTACTTAGGAATTGGGAGATATTTATTGGGGTCTAATGTAAACTTGACAATACATGCAACATTGGTCAAATAGCGACTGATTTGATAAAAGGAAGAAATATAGTAGGAAAAATAAAAGAGAAAAAATCCTCACATTTTTTGGCTTTGAATGTATTATTGTTTTCTTTGTTGAATAGAAGCTGGCTTCTGAAAGGACTCAATGTAAATGCTTAATTACTGGTAGTTTTGTTATTTTCTCTTTAAATGTGATTTCAATGTTGAACTTGGGTCATAAATATATTTTTTAAATACAATGTAGTTACTTTGTAAAATTATGTATTCCACATTACACATATGAAGACAAGAAATTGTAGACCCTGCAAAAAACTTGTTCCCTGGGTTGCAAGTAACAAATAAATCATGATGCTAGATTTATTATCTGTTAATCACATTGAACGTCTATCACGCAAAGCCTGTAGTCTGTTACAAAATGTGCTTTTGAGGGCTGGGTGCAGTGGTTCACACCTATAATTCCAGCCCCTTGGGAGGCTGAGGCAGGAGGATCCCTTGATCTCAGAAGCTAGAAGTTACAGTGAGTTGTGATTGTGCCACTGCATTCCAGCCTGGAAGACAAAGCAAGACCTTGTCTCCTAAAAATGTATTTGTTTCACTTTTAATGAGATAGGTAGGATGTCATTATGGGCTATAGAATAGAGGAGTGACACAATCTGGGAAGAGTTGAGTGTGGAAGCAGAAGGGTTGGTTAGTGATTACGAGGTATTCCTGGAGATGGATAATATTGACTTGGATCACTGCAGAGGTGGTGAGAAATGTTCAAGTTTTTCCTATTGTTTGATAGGCAAAGCAACTACATTTGCTGATGTATTGTATGTTAGGAGGTGACAGAAGAAAATCAAGATGACTCCAAGTTTTGAGGCTAAAAACCTGGAATAAAGGAATTAAACTTTACTTACATAGAAAATATATGTAGCAGGAGTGTTGGGGGAGGTAGGTAAAGAGTATGTTTTGAAATTTCTTTGGATGTCCAGTTGGAGGTGTTCATGAGAAGGGAGTTGAATACAAGGATATGGGTTTATGGGAGCAATGAGATGTGGAATTATAAAGCTGGGTTTTTTTAAGCATATATAATATTTAAAGCCATGAAACCAGATGAAATTGCATGGCAAAGAACAAAACAACTGACTGGAAAGCTGGGGAGTATCTCCAGTAACTGTAATGCAAATATTTTTTATAAATACAAAAGCGGCTATTATTTCATGCTCGGGTAGTACAAATGGATAAGTGATGAGTAGGTTTCCCCAGTGTTGTGACCTTATCACATTGTGATGTTGGAAGAAAAGCAAGAAAGAGAAACCAAACAAGAAAAAGCAAAGATAGTGAGGGAAAAGTCAGAGACAAAAGGTTGCATCTCTAAGAAATGTATAAGACAATACGGAAGATTGTATTAATTTCCCATGAATAATGAGTGAAAGTTTTCATAGCATTCATATCTATAGGTTTGATTGAGTTTGTTGATTATAGTGGGAATTTATGGTATTCTACCTGATTCCCTTGACCTGTAGATGTAATCATCTGCAAGCTTTTGCAACAGCTGAAAATACGGGCTTAAAAAGTACAGGTTTCTCCAGAAGCGCATTTTCTCAGAAAATCATGCACACCAGATTCCTTACTTCAGCCTCTGTTTTCAGGAATGACTACCTAAGGTGGATTCTGGATACATTTTGAAGATAAGGCTGATACGATTAGCTCGTAGTTTAGTTCTGAAAAGTGAGTAAAAGATATGATCAAGGATGCCTTTGATATACGATCCCAGAGAAGAAATGCTAAAGATGAGTTGATGGATTTAGCTCACTCACCAGCTGGATAAAACTAAAGCCACTTTCACTGAGGTAGGTACAACATCGATATTCCCTGGTATTCTGTAGCTGTAGAAACATTAAGATGTGCACCTGTGTTGAACTAGGATGAGATACACAGAATGGAATGTACTGATTTGTATGATATTTATGATACTGCTGGGACTAGAGATATATAGGTAGTAGTAATTATTAGGACCATGCAATCAATTGACTGTTACTGAGCACCAGTAATATTCTGAAAGAGAAAAATGTTAGACTCAAAGAAATTCATCATGCATGCAAAGAAAAATGTGGCACCCACAAGTCCTCCTGATCAGCAAAAAGTCCTCGTCTACTGTAGTTGAATGGCTGAACACCACACACAGGTCCTATTTATGAGAAGCAGAACATCAGTAAAGGCTGAATTTTTTAGCTTTGCAAATCTACTATGCCAAAGTCTGGGCCCTGAACAGAGAAGAAGTAAGAACCTGAAATATATCATAGCCGATGACTGAGAAACGGGAAGGCCCAAAATCCTCCAAAGGCATGGATCTGCAGGAACAGCCCATTCTTCGTTAGATGAAAGAGCCCTCTGCTTCGCTTGCTTGAAGACTAGGCAGAAGCTTCAAATGAGGCAGTATCATACAAGATAATGCTTGCCCTTTTAATTATATGCCCCAGTTATACTCCTGGCAATGAAACCACTAATTAGGGTGAAAACTCAGTCTGACTTAGCAGGGAAATCAATGAACCTGCCTAAAGGAAGAATGGAGTTACATAGTAAAGTAGCTGCTGAACCTGAATAATATGTACTGGCACAAACATGGAGCATATTCATAGGAATGGTTCTGAATCCAGGGATTTAAAAGTTAATCTATAACTGAACGAGTCTGTCAAAAAGAGTCACTCTTTTATATCACATTATTTAAATTGCTAACAAGAGAATGAGGGGCCAGGTATAATATTCTTCAAGGATGCATTTTAGAGACTTAAAGAAACAGTCCCTATGAAATGAAGCAGAGTTTTCAGAAGCCCTGTGGAAGACTGTGGAAGATGGGTCAAGAAGTTCAGAGAACTGGCCTTAAAAGAATGACTCTACTGTATAAAATCTGAAACCCACCAGCTGACTGTGTTTCCTGGGCACAGGAGGACACTGTGTTATGGTGGCAATGAGGAAACAAAAGCATTGAGAATGTGATTGGTGGCTGATCTGTGTAGTGCAGTGCTTACAGAAGTATATTCTGTTATAGAAATTGCATACCTAATAACAAGAAAATGATTGGAAGCTGTGCGCTCAGAGGCCAATGGAATCCTGTAACCATTAGCAGCAAGGTGGGTGGAATAACCCTAATCAATAACCAGTTAGAAATGGCTGACACAGAGTAACCTTTTCCTCTGGTATGTATGGATGTGGATAGAAAGAAATAGACTTCCTTGGGACAAATTATTTGAACAACCAATAAGAAAATTGTGTAATAACTTTAGCTATAGATATTATTGTCAGGGCCAACTCTGTTGATATGACTTTGATGATCAGATGCATGTTAATTCTGGAAACTGATGAGTAACTCATTACTTTCCATTGAAGTAATTTCCTTCTGCTCATAGATGGTAGATCTGTTTGGTTTATTATATAAACTCATTTAAGCCCCAAACTCAGACTCATTTTACCACTCTCTTACACATAATCTACAATTCCCCAAACCTGAATATCACTTCAATTAAAAATCCTCATAACATTAAATAAATTTCTCCTTTGGATTGAAATTTATCTAGTGCAACCTCTGAAACCTACATTGGTAGAGTTTCATAATTCTTTCCCTTTTCAACGACCTGTGACAAAGGCATGCTGGATATTTCCATGTCTGGTTATAAGCCATTATGACAAATTGTCTCTTCAATAATTTTATTTTACTCTTCACTTATCTGTATTATAATGTATGGCATAACTGAAGTGGCCTGAAAATATCATGTACTTTTCTAAAGATTACTACCAATTCTCCAACACTGATTAAAACTGTATGATATATAGTTCTATATAAATATGCATATACATACATATCTATATAACTATGCCTATAGTTATACTACTACTACTTTCCCAGTAGTAGAAAGAATTATGACTCACCCAAAGCTTTCCATGCCCTAATTCCCTGAACTTGTGAATATATTTCCTTGCTTGGCGAAAGGGATTTTGCAGATGTGATCAAAGCTAAAGACCTTAGAATAAGGAGATTATTTTCGATTATCTGGGTGTAATTCAGATATTGTAATCACTTGAGCTCTTACAAATAGAAGAAATAGGCAGAACAGTCAAGAAGATGCAACACAGTGATGTAAGAAGGCCAGGAGGTGTGGTGGCAGGTTTTTAAATAAAGGACTCACCAAAGAGTCCCAAGAGTGGCTCCTAGCAGGTAAGTGTGGTTCCCAGCTGACAGCCAGAAAAGAAATGGCTGTCAACCACGTGGGAGGACTCCCCTGAAGCTTCCAGAAAGAAAAGAGTGGTCCTACCAACACCTCTATTTTGTTCTTGTGACACACTGAGCAGAGAACCTACCTTTGCTATTTTGTGCCTAGATTTAAGCCCCATCAAAATTATGAGGTCATAAATGAGCATTATTTATGCCACAATATTTGTAGTAATTTGTTATGACAGTGTATTCATCTGTTCTTGCACTGCTATAAAGAAATTCCTGAGACTGGGTAATTTATAAAGAAAAGAGGTTTAATTGGATCACAGTTCTGCAGGCTGTACAGGAAGCATGGCTGGGGAGGCTACAGGAAAATTACAATCATGGTGTATGGCAAAAAGTGAGCAGGCACATCTTATACAACAGGAGGAGGGGAAAGATGAAGCAAGATGCTACACACTTTTAAACAACCAGATCTTGCAATAACTCACTCTTACCACAAAAACACTAAGGTGGATGTTGTTAAACCATGAGAAACCAATATTGGAGATTACAATTTGACATGAGATTTGGGTGGGGACACAGATCCAAGCCATATCAGGCAGTGATATAAAAGTAATTCATACAGTGACCTCCCATTCCCACCGCCAATAAAATTAAGCCACAGAAGACTCAGTGGTGCTGTCTTTGAGTTAAGTAGTCAAAGTATCCTGCCTGGGGGAGCTTTAATTTATGTATATATTTTTTATGTTTGTTTCTCTAGATTTGCTGTTGTTGTTAGTTCCTATCTTTTTTTTTTTTTTTTTTTTTTTTTTTTTTTTTGATGGAGTCTCACTCTGTCGCCCAGGCTGGAGTGCAGTGGCACGATGTCGGCTCACTGCAAGCTCCGCCTCCCGGGTTCATGCCATTCTCCTGCCTCAGCCTCCCGAGTAGCTGGGACTACAGGCACCCGTCACCACGCCCGGCTATTTTTTTTTTTTTTTTTGTATTTTTAGTAGAGACGGGTTTCACCATGTTAGCCAGGATGGCCTCCATCTCCTGACCTCATGATCCACTGGCCTCAGCCTCCCAAAGTGCTGGGATTACAGGCGTGAGCCACCGCGCCCGGCCTTCTCTCTTTCTAATGTCTCTGTTCACATTTGTGGGCTAATATTCTTATGTTGAAGCATCTTATTTTCATTTCATCTCTCAAACCTCATACATTTCTCTGCTTACTTTTACTTTTTCCATCAGAGTTACATATTCAAATATTTTTGTCCCAAATATACCTGATTTAATACATTTGTTATGTGTGCACATTATTTACTAATTTACAGCTGCAGAAAGGTGATATCTTATTTTTAAATTAAAAGGACACAACAAAGTGTATGTAAGGCACTGTGAAGAGCTGTTTCTTATTTGCTGTTTTTTTTTCTTTTCTTTTTTTTCCCTTCAACTTGGAACTTGTGAGTTTCTTTTTATTAAGACTTTTTAGAGAAAAAGAAAACCAAGATCAGAGATGTGAGGTAATAATAAGCTTGAGTTCACACAACTAAAGGAATTGCCAATGTGGATGTGAACCCAGCATAATCTGACTTCAAAAGATCGGCTCTTATAGCCACTTCATAATACCTCTCTCAGGGGCATTAAACTGTGTCTTCCAGCGTATTGTTATCATAGTACAGGGCCTTCCACAATGCTGGGCATAGCAAAAGTGCTCAATATATATGTATTTCACTGACTTAGTCTGAAAAAAACAAAAAACGATAGAAGCTTTTGGCTCAAGATTAAAATAGACTAAAACAGAAGGGATTAAAATGAAGGGACATCATCCTCTAACATTCTGTGTAGGTATCGCCCCCCTGCCCCCAGAAACCCTCTCAGATACTAACACACTATATAAGAAAAAAAATTGTAATCTGTATCTTCATGTTATTTCAGAATATTATTTATTCTCATTGTAAATATTGTTGTAAAGTAAGGTAGGATAGTGTTTGACAGCATATTTTTAAATTAGACTGTCTTGAATCTGGGCTCCGCTATTTGACCAACTAAAACCCATTCCTATTTGTCTTTTATTTGCTCTTCTAGTGTAGAAGGGCAAAACCTAAACCATCTACTAATTGACCCTTCACAGAAAAAAGTTTACCACTGTGAACTCTAATCTGTCAAATTTTTTGGTACCTTATGCCCTTTTTTTCCTTCTTTCTCATTCCTCGAATATTAGTTTCACATTTTAATACAGCTAGCTCTATTTTTCATTCAGGTTTTACCTGAAAGATCACTTTTTTTTTTTTATTTTTGAGACGGAGTCTTGCTCTGTCGGCCAGGCTGGAGTGCAGTAGTGTGATCTCCTCTCACTGCAAGCTCCGCCTCCCGGATTCATGCCATTCTCCTGCCTCAGCCTCCTCAGTAGCTGGGACTACAAGCGCCCGCCATCATGCCCGGCTAATTTTTTTGTATTTTTAGTAGAGACAGGGTTTCACCGTGTTAGCCAGGATGGTCTCGATCTCCTGACCTCGTGATCCGCCGGCGTCGGCCTCTCAAAGTGCTGGGATTACAGTCGTGAGCCACTGTGCCCGGCAGATCGCTTTTTTTAAGATAAGCTCTCCCTTTGTTCTCTTCCACCTCAACTTTTCTGATTTTTATGATAGCATTCATTGTTCTTGTCACAATTATTTAAATGTATATGTTGTTGATTTTTGTTTTCTCCTCACTTCTTTACTCAAAGAGAACAGACACTCATTTGCCTGTTCATAAGTGTATCAGCATGGTCTTAAGATGTTACCATATTTTACAGATTTATTGAAAAAAACAAATATGTTCATACATAACATGTGCTATCTTGCCTCATATAAATTATCATATAACACATTTCTTTCTAGATATCATCTTTGAATGAGTGTAGTTATCACAGATTTGGTGAATAAAGTTATTTTTAGAGTTAAGGCTCTGTTTGACTGATAGCATTGCTATTACCTCAGAAAGAGCAACCGATCTGCTTCGGGTCTCATGAAGTTGATAGGCTTTTTTTTTTTTCTTTACAATTTGCTTTTCTTCAGCAATTTTTAGAAATATTACTGTCACTCAAATGTGTTCATCTTCAAATTCTACTTCCATTAAATAAGAATAATTGACAGCTCTGTAGAAAAGTGAGGCACTGAATTGTGATAATCACCCAGGAAATTGCCTCATTCCTCTGTTTTCGTTTTGAATGAGAAGGAAGAGCCAATATTTGCGAACTCAGGCAGTTGGTTTAAGTGGAACAAAAGAAACTTGCTGTGACTCTGTTTGAGACATAGTGTCTTTACTAAGCAGTTTTCCATTTCAATACGATTTGGAAATTTAGTGCTATTTATAGTACATTCAAGACTTGCCATGCTTCATTGCTAAGGAATATTGATGTTTTGTATCTAGACTCTTCTTACTTACAAACTCTAGTTTTAAAGGCCTGACTTTTACAAGGCAATCCTATAAAAATTAGAAAAAATGATCACCAGCCCTTAATATATTACTTGATAAAACATGAATGTGTTATTGCTAAACTTGCTAGGAATTAGAGTGAGAATTCCTTAAACATGTGCACGCATACACACACACACATCCCACACACAAGTGCAGACAACATATTTCTACATGTTTCTAGGCTTATATACATATATGTTTATATAGGTTTCTATTCTTTTCTTTGGTAAGATCAGGTATGATTGTATAATGTGTTTTTACTTTAATGAAAAGTAACGTCTTAAGTTTCTTAGCACTTCATATAATGTCTTATATAAAATGTTTATAAAAATTTGTTGAATTGGATTCAATTTGTCCTTTGTACTAGTGTGTTTGAGCTGTGTAACAAAATTCCATAGACTAGATGGCTTAAAAAATAATCCCAGCACTTTGGGAGGCCGAGGAGGGTGGATCACGAGGTCAAGAGATGGAGACCATCCTGGTCAACATGGTGAAACCCCATCTCTACTAAAAATACAAAATTAGCTGGGAGTGATGGCACACGCCTGTAGTCCCAGCTACTCAGGAGGCTGAGGCAGGAGAATCACATGAACCTGGGAGGCAGAGGTTGCAGTGAGCCGATATTGCGCCACTGCACTCCAGCCTGATAGACAGAGCAAGACTCTGTCTCAAAAAAAAAAAAAAAAAGAGAGACATTTGGTCTGGAGCCTGGAACATCCAAGATCAAGGTTCAGTATGGTTTATGGTGATGGCTCTCTTGGTTGTGTCTTCACATGACAGTCACATGACAGGAAGAAGGATGGAGGAAGAGGAAAGAGAGAGATCTTTTCCTTTTAGCAGTCCTGTAGCATTAGAACTCCACTCTGATGGCTTCATTGAATCTTAATTACCTCCTAACGATTCTATCTTCAGACGTGGTCACGTCTGCAGTAAGACCTTCAACATATTAATTTGGGAGGATGCAATTCAATTATAGCACTTATCTTTGGAGTTTTTTTTAATTTATCTACTTTTTCTTAATTTACTTATGAAAATAAAATTTATGAAATATTATTTACTGAAATTAATGTCCTACTTAAAACAATATTCTTACTTAGACCATAACAATACCCATTTTTACGTGAACACATTAACATTAATCTTTTTATATCTTCATATTTAGAATGATGAATATTTATACTTGTCTCAGTTATGATTGGCAGGTTTATTCCTAGAAAAGCTTGCTTTAAATTTCAAGGAATGAAAGTTGGCTATGGTAAATAAATAATTATTGTAGCATTTTTTCCTACACCTTATAATTATAAACTGGACAATTCTTTCCTCTGAGTTTACATGATGACGTTTCAAAGTGACAAATTTTTCCATTCCATCATCTGGAAATTATCCATCCTTCATCATTCTCTTTCTTCCTCTTGACTTCTTCAAGCTATGGCCATAATGCCATTTTCACATAGGAGTTTTATTAAGTTAGACCAATTAAAGTTATATTAAATCTTAAAGTCTAAGATTATATAGAGAAATCTGTTTCATTTTCATCATTGAATCACAATAAAAACCCCACTTCATAGCCACAGAAAATCCTAAAAAGAATGCTGCTGGTACTTGCCCATTCACCCTGAACTACTCAATTTCTTCATTGCAAGGACCTCAGTTCTCTACCACATTCTTACGTGGCAGAACTTCTAGATTTCTCTCCATCCTCACTATTCCTTGCCAATACCTTCTACCTTAGAGGAATATGTTTTAAATTACGACATCCAAAATTATACATATATTTGTGTGACTTACGTAAATGAAAGATTTAAAAATTTTTCAGGTGGACCTGACCCCAACATCAGAAATCATGTGCATTGTATTAATGTTCCTCCTAAAATTTAGGCAACAGATAACTTTTTTTTTTTTTTGAGACAGATTCTCGCTCTGTCACCCAGGCTGGAGTGCAACGGTGTGAAACCTCTGCCTCCTGGGTTCAAACAATGCTTCTTGCTGCAGCCTCCCGAGCAGCTGGGATTACAGGCGCCTGCCACCACTCCCGGCTAATTTTGTGTATTTAGTAGACACCGGGTTTCGCCATGTTGGCCAGACTGGTCTTGAACTCCTGACCTCAGGTGATCCGCCCGCATCAGCCACCCAAAGTGCTGGGATTACAGGAATATGTCTTAAAATCACTTAAGAGAAAGTGAGGTCCTATCTCAAATATTTATTATCTCCTGGGCAGAAAGTGCTGTTATTTCCTTCCCTAGGGAACTCTTTTGGCACTTATAAATGTTTTTGTTTGTCTGGTTGTTTTTTGTTTTTTGTTTTGCTTTAGTTTTCATTGGCCAAGGCCTCATGTAGCATTCTCTGGATCTGTATAGTCTTAATCTCATTAAGGGAAGAAATAAATGAAAGAGTTTTAACCCAAACAACCCTGGCTAGCTGAACTGGGATTCCTTTGAAATGAACATAATACATGAGATTACACATCATTCCATCTCCAAAACACAAGTCCACTCCTACTATAGTTTTCAGAACAGGGCTTTGAGAGATTTTCCACTTTGTCTGAGCAAGACACATAAAGTCTATCCTCTTCCCAGCAGTAAACCTCAGTTATAGTCAGACTTCCAAGTCTGCAGGAACTTGAAGCATTACAAATAGGAATGAATTCAAGTTTTTTTGTGTGTGAATGGGTTGCCTTTATTTGCTTCCCACACTGTTTTAGACACTTTGTTTGCACATATATGATCTAACTGTATTGTCAAATTTGTTTAACATTTATTTTAAAAATCTTGTCATCTATTAATTAATATAATAATGGGTAGAGACATTTGCAATTTGGGACAAGTTACAAACCTAAATTCCTGTTTGCTGATCTTTAACATCAAGATAACAAACATTTAACATTATGCATACATTATAGGAGGGCTTGGTAAATATCAGTTCTTTGATTTATCATGTTGATATTGATAAGAGAAATACACCATAGAACAATACTAGGTTTAATTAAGGTTTCCAATATTCAGTATTCAATATCTGACATATTCTTTACTTTTTAGTTAACCATGGGTAAGAAATTAAATTTGTGGGCTGATATGGTCAATTTGAAGTTTCCCAAGCTCTTAACTATTCCACTTTTTAAAAGTGGAGTTCTTTTTTTTTAGTATGATCTAGTATGCTTGATTAATCCATGTAACTATATGTATACTCAAATAAACTGTGTTCTCATAGTCTCATAAATATATTACAAATGAGGCTACAAGGGGTGAAACGACTCTCAGAAGCAACTGTTGCAAGGTTCTAAAGACTCAAAAAACTCTCAATATCGATAAGAAAATAAGTCACATAACTTTTACATCAACCAAATTAAAAAATAATCTATGATTGTGAGAAAGGTGCAATGCCTAGCAATATTAGCAGCACCAGGCTACTGTGGTTTTTTTTTATTTATTCATTGCCCTGACAAATTATATGTGAATTATGCAGCCATGTCTTTGGTTAAAAGTTGCCCTGTAGGATGAAGGTTATAATTAAAGGAAAAGTAAATATGCATTTAATTTAACCTTCAAGAAAGGAAGAGACCATCTGGTTTATTTCAATGCCTTTACTGTGCAAATATAGGTATAGTGGTTCATACACCCTATTATTGACACCACTTTTATGGATCATTTCTTACTGTGTTTCCCTTAGGGAAACACGTATAATGTGACAGAGAGGTTGGTAATGATGCGGCAACGATAATTAGTGATACTGGTAACTTTTAGAAGACTTTTACAACAGCAAATGTTGTAAGGTGAGCTTACCCTCCCTAAAGTAATAGCCTTATTTTTAAAACAATAAAACACACGAATCGAAGTACATTCTAATGTCTTTACAATAACTAAAGATGTGCTGTAAGCTTTTAAGTGCAATGTGCTTATAACTATGTTCATCTATAGAAATATGTTCAAAATTTAAGACTGCATTAAGTTTTTCAGGACTTTTTCTAGTGTTTTAAATGCAGTGGTTAATCTTGAAATGAACTTCATTGCCATGAAGCAGCAATACACTACAGAATTTTAAAGAAACTGGCAAAGGATGGGATTTATTTTAGGAAGGAGTAAGATTTCATATATATATGTAGACAAAAGTGTGAAAAATACAATCTGCTTTATACTATCTTCTGTTATTTGAAACAGATATTCAAATAAAATGATTGCTGCAAGCATGTCAAAAAAAAAAAGGTGCAAACCTTAAAATATTGCCTGAGAATCAAATTTCATGAGAGGGCAATGTGTGAGCTTTCTTGGATTTTTGTCATAATTCAGAAAGGAAATAAAGTCTTTAAAAAAAAGTTTTCTAGGTTCTTGAAGCATTATAGTGTGTAAATATAATTATAGTCAGAGAAAAAAATGTAGTTAAGGATGATTTGCAAAAAATATGGCTTCCAGAAATTTAGTTTTTCAGTGTCACTTAGGATTATTTCTATGGTTTTTCTATTGACTTGAGCTTCTTAATGTTGCTTAGTTATATAAAAATCTCACCTAAATGAATTCAGAACATTAAGGATATGTTCTAGAAAATAACAATACGGAGGGTGTTTTTGCCATTACTTTTAATGGCAAACACCACAGTTACTTTTGCACCAACCTATAGAATATTAATAATGGGATAAAGCAAAACTCATTAAGCTAGATGCACTGCAATGCATCTATTGTTTGGTCTGATGGACAACCCCACTCTCTATTACCTTTTTGAGAAATGTTCTCTGTCCAGTAAAAATACAGTCATTCTGACCTCTTAGATACACATCACCCAGGCCTGGCCACAATACTGCTTCTGACCATGAAAGATTGTTCCAAAAGGAGCAGAGAGCATAAGCCAAACTGGAGACCCTTCCTAGATATTATGTAACTTATGTGGGAAAATAGAAAATATCATTTCTTTTTTTTGGGTTCCTGAACATATCTACAGCCATGACTACTATTGGTTGTTATTAGTGCCATTCATAGTTGCTATATAACTTGTATAGCAAGAAAAATTAACATTACAACATGGATTATATCAGGTAATTTCATTTCCTAACGAAATATAAGAATGCTGGAATCATTGGAAGAGTTATATTGACATTGGATTTGCATTAAAGTAAATCTATGTTGAATAAATATTTCTTATAAATTAATTTGTATTAAAAATGAAGATTACAAGAAAAGGATTTCAGCCTATAAGAAAGTAAAATATTGTGAAAATTATCTATTTAAAAGAAGAATCAATTTCCAGTAATTTCTTACTCAGAGAAAAATCGGTATTTTATTTAATATTAATAACTGAAAATAAAGTACTAAAAGTAGAGATGTTCTATATGTATCAGAAATTAAAAACACCCAAATGTATCTCTCCCTGGCTAACATTTTTAATAGCCTTTGCGTATCATTTTACTGGCTCAAAATTTGCATGCAAATAATTTTTAAATAATGGCCTTTATTATTTTACTCTTATATATATGAGCTATCATTATGTGATCAATTGTATAAATGAGGACCATAATAGTTGAGTATTTCATCCTTATTTTGATATAATATACATACGTTCACTAAATATTTTTTCCCTTTCTAATTCATTTGTCACCTGACATGAGATATATTCATTATAATTTACTTTAAACTCACTGTTTAAGTTACATAATATCAAATGGAAGTGTGGATCAGCTGGGAAAAGAATGAACATCATCCAAAGACAAAAGAGAAGACTGGAGGCCTCTTACAGGGAAAAGGTTACAGTGTTTTCATTTAGCAGAAGGGTTGCATGATGCTAGGAAAAGGTGACTTATTTTCTCATTTGAAAATTATGCATATTGTAAGGAGATGTGTGTAAGTGCCCAGTTGACACTCACATTCTTTTCAACGTGCTAACTTTGGTATGTCGGACTATGTTACCCAGAATTCCTCTTCCTGTGTGTTCTGGTTAAGATGGGCCCTAGATAAATTATTGTTCTTGATTTGGAGAGCAGAGGTGACGCTACAATTTTTAAGCTCTTATGTTGATAAAGATGGAATTACATCATTAGCAAGAGGAGCAGCAGCTTGGCCTTAAAATGCTTTACCATCCCCTCAATCCTCCTTGAAGCTTCTCTCAATCTATGCTAGGTGAATGTGTTGAGCTCTGCTATGAGAGGCCCAGCTTCTACAGGATACCCTATCAGATACCGGGTCTAAGGCCACAAAAACAAGCATAGTTTTCTGTCCATAATCATGGGCTCCAATTCTGCTGTGAATTCCAGCTTGTTCTTGTTCCTTATCTTACCTCCAATTTTCCTTCCTGACTCCTCTCCTGTAGACTTCAACTCCAGTATCAGAGGCAAAGAGAGTTGCAGAGATGGCCTAACCAGGAAGCTTAGCCAGCTCTGAAGATTACATAAGATCAAATCTCTGAAACAAACACAAATCCAGATAAACAGATATAAAAAGGTAATAGTTTAACTGATAAAATATCCTTAAATCACATCTCAATTGGTACAGTGAAGTATGTATTGAAGATCACCCACAAGAAGTTTTTTTAAAAAGATATATTTAAGTGCTATTCAACGTTTTATAATTTCTTATTTCAAATCTCTATGATAGGCATTATAAAACTCATTATATCCATTAATAAACAGCCTCAGAAAGCAGTAAAAGCTCTTTGTCATTGGTAAATTTAAACTATTTCAGTATTTATAAAATTATCATCATGATCATTGTCATCACTAAAAAATTCATTTCACATATTTTACTGGAAAATTACCATTTTATGATGAAAGGAAAAATTAAAGTCATGACACCTTTTTATTGTTGTTTGTTTTTACAAAATTGACAATACACCATTGGGTTAAGAATTTGGAGAAAAATAAGAGAAGTGTGATTATTTTAAAAATTCATTTTTCGAAAGTATTTTTTTACTGTGTCATTCCATCTGTCTCAATTCTTCTTTGTTATAATAAAAATTCATTGTTTTATTCTTAACACACATGGATTTCTGAAGCATATGGGAAACTCTTTATAAAATTCTCCATACCTCTAATTTTCTTTAGAATTTTGTTCCCAATGCTAAATTTGGTACAGTGTTAATATAGAATCAATAAATGGTGTGTTATTCTTGCCAAGAAAAGGTGACATTAATAGTATTTAGATACAGATCTATACATATTATTTACCAACAGCTGTAAGAAGAGGAACTGTGCATTTTGTATAACTTTAAAAAACAAAAATTATGAAAAATTCAACGTAGAATTTACACTGTAAAATTTTATTTTAATTCTAAGTGCAATAAGTATTTCATACAAAATATATTGTGAAGTTTTGATTAATAAAATAAAAATAAGAATGAAAGCAATGTCCCATAACTTTAGAAATATTAGACAATGATAGAAATTGATGAAAAAATAGGTAAGAGAGTCCAGAAATAGATACGGATAAATATAGTCAAATGATATTTAACAAAGGAATAAGGCAACACAATGAAGAAAAGATACTCCTTTCAATAAATAGTGCTGGAACAACCGAGCCTCTGCATGCAAAGACGTAAATCTAGATACAGATTTTACACTCTTCACAAAAATTAGCACAAAATGAATCATAGACCTAAATGTAAAACACAAAATTACAGAACTCCTGGAAGATAACACAGCAGAAAATCTAGACGACCTTGGGTATTGCGACTTTTTAGATAGAACACCAAAGTCATGATTAATGAAAGAAACAATTGATAATCTGCAATCCACTAAAATAAAATACTTCTGCTCTTCAAAAGACAATGTCAAGCAAATGAGATGACAAGCCATAGGCTGAGAGAAAATATTTGCAATAGATACATCTGATAAAAGACTGCTAATGAAAATATACAGGCCGGGCACGGTGGCTCACGCCTGTGATCCCAGCACTTTGGGAGGCCGAGGAGGGCGGATCACGAGGTCAGGAGATCGAGACCATCCTGGCTAACACGGTGAAACCCCTTCTCTACTAAAAACACAAAAAATTAGCCAGGCGTGGTGGCGGGCGCCTATAGTCCCAGCTACTCGGGAGGCTGAGGCAGGAGAATGGCGCAAACCCGGGAGGCGGAGCTTGAAGTGAGCCAAGATAGCACCACTGCAGTCCGGCCTGGGCGAAAGAGTGAGACTCCGTCTCAGAAAAAAAAAAAAGAAAAAGAAAAGATAATATACAAAGAACTCTTTATTTTATGTTATTTGTTTATTTATTTATTTTGAGACAGAGTCTCGCTCTTTCGCCCAGGCTGGAGTGCAGTGGCGCGATCTCGGCTCACTGCAAGCTCCGCCTCCTGGGTTCGCGCCATTCTCCTGCCTCAGCCTCCCGAGTAGCTGGGACTACAGGCACCCGCCACCATGCCCAGATAATTTTTTGTATTTTTAGTAGAGACGGGGTTTCACCGTATTAGCCAGGATGGTCTCGATCTCCTGACCTCATAATCCGCCCGCCTCAGCCTCCCAAAATGCTGGAATTACAGGCATGAGCCACCGCACCCGGCCGAACTCTTAAACTTTTTAACAATAAGAAAACAGAAAATCTTATTACTTTTTTTGAAAAAGACCTGAGGACATACTTCACTGAAGAAAATCTACAGATGGCAAGTAAGTATATGAAAATATGTTCAGCATCATATGTCACTAGGAAAATGCAAATTAAAACAACAATGGGATACCACTACACACTTATTAGAGTGACCAAAATTTAAAACACTGACACCACCAACTGCTGGCAAGGATGTAAAGCAACAGGAGCTGTGATTCACTGCTGGTGGAAATGCAAAATGGTATAGCCACTTTGGAAGACTGTTTAAGAGTGTCCTACTAAGATAAGTATAATTTAACCATACAATCCAGCAATTGTGTTCTGTAGTATTTACCCAAATGAAAACTTACGTCCACACAAAAACCTTCACAAAAATGTGTAAAGCAGCTTTATAATTGCCAAAACTCGGAAGCAAACAAGATATCCTTCAATAGGCAACTGGATAAACTGTAATACACACAGGCAATGAAGAACTATTCAGTACTAAAAAGAAATGCACTATCAAGCCTTAAAAATAGATAGGGGACATTTAAATTCACATTACTAAGTGAAAGAAGCCAATGTGAAAAAATACATACCATATGAATCCAAGTATATGACATTTTGAAAAGGCAAATTTATGGAGACAGAAAAGAGATCAATTATTGCTAGTGGTTACAGGAGAGAGAATGAAGAAGCAGAACAGAAGGGATTTTTAGGGCACTGAGTCTATAGTACTTGCTATTGGTTGGTGCAAAAATAATTGCTGTTTCCGCCATTACTTTCAATGGCAAAAACTGCAATTACTTTTGCACCAACCTAATACAATGGTGGATACATGTCACTATTCATTTGTCAAAACCCACAGAATGTGCAACACCAAGAGTGAAGCCTAATGTTAACTATAAACTTTGGGTGTTAATGATATAGTGTGATAATGAATGTAGGTTCATCAATTGTTAAGAATGCACCACTGTTTTGTGGGATGCAGATAGTGGGGGAAGTTTTTGCAGAGGTGAGGATGGGTGGTAAATGGGAATGCTACTTTGTGCTCAATTTTGCTGTGAACCTGAAATTGTTCTAAAGAAAAATGCTTTTTTTGAAAATCAAATAACAAAACCACATTTATTAGCATAAAACAATATATATACACTATATCTAATACACCATATATCACATTAGTACCCAATCCTATTTGCTGTTTATGTATGTTTGTGTATGTTAGGAAGTGGGGAAAAATGTTTTCAGAGAGAGCTATGTCATATGTTAATTTTTTTAAAAAGACCTGAATTATTGAATTTCCTCATGCAGTAGTATATTTTGTTTTCATTTATTGCACAGTTTGGATGCCACCTAAAAAGTGGTCATGACCACTCTATATTCACAAGAAATTGCTTATTTTATCTCTTCGGAATGTCTCATTGTCTCAAAGCACTTACTGTTTTATTTCTCATTGCTCAGCACTGTCACACAGCTTTTCCCCCCATCTAGAAACTTACCATTTATTTCTTCCGGGGTATTGCAATAGTTTAGCTCTATAAATTAAGCCAGAGTAATTTTACAATCAGTTTACAAAGGAGTAGGAATTTCAATAATGTTTAAATGGGAGAGAGTAGGATTTCTTGCAGTATCAATAGAAGTCTAAATTTGTTTTCAATTTAAATATTCAAGATCCTCCATGTAATGCTATTTCTCATTTGCACTTTTGCTAGTCAATTCTTTTTTAATGTATTTTCTCAGAAAGTTTCCAGTTCTGGTCCAGATAAATCTGATTTTTGGAGGAGGATCATGCTGAATCACTAGGACTTCAAGGGTAATTATCTGGGTAGGTGGTTGTGTTCCTAAGAGACTCATGTGCATCATTTGCATTTTGATGTATTAAAAACTCAATGTATTTCTATTGACATTGTTTTTTTATGATGGGTGGTGGTGTTCATGTTAATGCTTTGATGGTTTATCATGTGTGTGTTTGCTTTTGTGTTGCCCTCTTCATTTAAGACTTTCAAGTTAAATTTGACCTGCTCTTAAAAAAAAAAAGGAAAAAATTAAGCATATGTTAGTCATAGACAATTAAATACATGATATATTAAAGTCTGACTTTTGCCACGTGAACTATAACTCATTCTTATATGAGACTAAAAACCTTGACTTTGGACATCAGTATTAATAAAGACCCTGTATTGTTTTGCTTCCCTTCCTATTTTTCATGTTAATTGTGTTACTAAGTTAACTTATCTCCAATAACAAAGGCCCCTATAAGTTTATGTTTTTATTGGTTAGAATTAAATGGTATATCAGATTTATATTCCAGTAAATGGTAGGATAGACTTATGTAAATTGTGGCGCAGTAATAAAACAGTGTGGTTAAACAAAACATCTTCATTTTATCTACAATTGAAATTATTCTTACTTGAAAACCAAATATTGATGATTTTTCTTCAGAAATAATGAAAAGATAGTCTTTCAGTATTTTTGCTCGCAATAACTGCAATATTTCTTGCTACTTAAGATTCACCAGGCCATAATATACAGCTTAAAAAGTGTTTTAAGATGATAAGCTGTGAAATATGAGTAATTGCCATTTATATGACACTTTATTACTCTCATTTAAATACACAGCACATGAAAACATTGCCTGTAGAATACTGAGAAACAGTCTCTAAATTTCTATCTTCTTAAAAATGTTTCCATAAGAATTGTATACATTTAAGGTGTGCGACATGATGTTTTGATATACATAGTGACTAATTACTGTAGTCAAGTAAATTAACATATCCATCTCCTCAAAATTATCTTTCTCCAAGAAAATCGTGAGTTAGAATATTTAATCAAGTTAATGTGAATTAATGCTCTGTATTAACATATAAAAGATGTCGATACATATCATATCCATTTTTTCTTTGGTTATACCTTCTGTTCCTCATATTTCTTTTGATATGTCCAAAACAATTCAAATATATTTTAGAAACAAAATGAGATTGCAAATATAACTAAAACATATACCTTTATATCATGTTAATAGTCTCTATTTTTATAATTGGGTGACTTTCCTTATGTTATTTAATTCTCTGCAATTCTTCTGTAATATATTTGGGTGGATTAAAATATAGGTTTGTGATTCTTCATCAATAAAATTTAATGATCACTGGTAGAAAAACAGTTTTAAGAACCTATTTCCTGAGGGTGAAGGAAGATGGCCAAATAGAAGCTTGCATTGATCATTCCTCTCCTCAGGAAGACCACATTTTAACAACTTTCTACACACAACAAAAACACAGTCATAAGAACCAAAAGTCAGATTAGCAATTACAGTACTGGGTTAAAACTTCCTATCACTAAAAGAGGTCTTGAAAAGGGTAAGAAAGACAGTCTTGAATTGTTGATGTCAATTCCTCCCATTTCCCATTGCAGTGGGTGCATAGTGTGGAGAGAGCATCTGTGCCCTTGAGTGAGGGCGAGCACAGCAACTGAGAATTTGGCATTGAACACAGTGCCATCTCGTCATAGCAGAGACAAAAGTCATGCTGGGCTCAGCCAGCACTCGCTTATGAAAGGAGCATTTCGATAAGCCCTAACCACACGGAAATTGCCTATCCCCTTGGTCAGAACTTGAGTTTCGGCAAGCATCACCACCATGGGCTCAAGTGCTCTGGGGTTCTAGGCAAACTTGAAAGATGGTCTAGGACATAAGGGCTGCAATTCCTAGGCAAGCGTTATCGCTGGACTGGGCTTAGAGCCAGTGCACTAGGGTGGCATGTGACCTAGGGAGACATCAGCTGGAGTGGCTAAGGGAATGCTTGTACCACCACTTTCACAAACCCAGGAGGCACAGCTTGCAGCAATGAAAATGACTCCTTCCTTCTGCTTCAGAAGAGGAGAGGGAAGACCAAAGAGGCCTTCATCTTGCATTTTGAATACCAGTTCAGCCACACTAAGATAGGGCACTGGGCAGTATCGTGAGGCTCCGATCTCAGGCCCCAGCTCCCAGATGACATTTCTAGACATACTCTGAACAAGAGGGAACCTGCTGCTTTGAAAGGAAGGATCTAGTCCTGGCAGGATTTATCACCTGTTGACTAAAGACCCCTTGGGCCCTGAATAACCAACAGTGATACCCAGGTAGTATACTTTGAGCCTTGGGTGAGACTCTGAGATATGCTGACCTCAGGTGTGACCCAGCACATTCTCAGCTATGGTGGTTTTGATGAAAGACTCCTTCTGGTTGAGAAAAGCAGAGAGAAATGTGAAGGGGACTTTGTCTTGTACCTTAGGTGCCAGCTTGACCACAGTGGGGTATAGCACCTTGCAAACTCTCAGGGTCCCCAAGTCCAGGTCTAGGCACTTGGACAGCACTTCTGGACCTGCCCTGGGCAAAAGGGGAACCATCTTCCCTGAACGGTGTGTCGCAGGCCTGGCAGCATTCACAAACTGACTGAAGAGCCCTTGGGCTTTAAGTGAACATCTGTGATGGCCTGGTAGAACTCTCTGTGGTCCAATAGGGGTGGCCATTGGGAAAGGGGAGGGAAGGCTGGGAAAGACTGTCATGTGGCTTGAAGTCCAGCTTAGCTGCAGTAGAATAGAATAGAATAGAATAGAATAGAATAGTAGAATAGAATATCAAGTAGATTTCTAAGGTCTTTGACTTCAGTCTCTGGCTTCCAGACAAACTCTATGGACCAGTCCAGGGCCTAAGAACTCACCACCCTGAAGGAAAGGAAACAAACCTGGCTGGCTTCCCCACTTGCTGTACTATAAAACCCTAGAGCCTTGAGTGAACATAGGCAGTAGTCAGGTAGTGGTTACAGCAAGCCTTGGGTTAGACCCAGTGCTGTGCTGGTTTCAGGTCTAACCCAGGGCAGTTTCAGTGGTAGTGGCCATAGGAGTGCTTGCATCACCTCACCTCCAGCTACAGGAGGCTCCGCACCGAGAGAGAGAGAGCCTCTGTTTGTTCAGAAGAAAGTAAGGGAAAAGAACAAGAGTCTATTTCTGGTAATTCAGAGAATTCTTCTGGATTTTATTCAAGACCACCTATGCACTATCTATATGAATCTGCAAGAACCACAGCATTATTGGGCTTGAGGACTAATTCACTTTGAATAGCTGGAAAGCCTTCCTAAGAAACACAGGCACAAACAAGCTCAGACAATAAAGACTACATTAAATACCCAATTCTTCAATGCCAAGAAACTGACAAACATCTACAAACATCAAGATTGTACAGAAAAATGTTACTTCACCAAACAAACAAGTTGGTCCAAAGGCACCATTGATCTAAAGGCACCAAGGATCAATCCTGGAGAAACAGAGATATGTGCTTTTTCAGACAGAATTCAAAGTAGTTGTTTTGAAGAAACTCAAAGAAATTCTAGATAACACAAAAAAGGAACTCAGAATTCTAGCAGATAAATTTGACAAAGAGATGGAAAAATTATGAAGCATCAAACAGAAATTGTAAAGTTGAAAAATGCAAGTGACATAGGGAAGAATACATCAGAGTCTCTTAATGGCAGAATTGATTGAGAAAATAAAGTAATGACTGGGCTAGAAAACAGCCTATTTAAAAATGGGTCAGAGAGGTCCTGAAGGACCTCTTCAAGGAGAACTACAAAACACTGCTCAACAAAATAAAAGAGGACACAAACAAATGGAAGAACAGTCCACGCACATGGATAGGAGGAATCAATATCGTAAAAATGGCCATACTGACCAAGGTAATTTATAGATTCAATGCCATCCCTATCAAGCTACTAATGACTTTCTTCAGAGAATTGGAAAAAACTACTTTAAAGTTCATATGGAACCAAAAAAGAGCCCACATTACCAAGACAATCCTAAGCCAAAAGAACAAAGCTGGAGGCATCATGCTACCTGACTTCAAACTATATTACAAGGCTACAGTAACCAAAACAGCATGGCACTGGTACCAAAACAGAGATATAGACCAATGGAACAGAACAGAGCCCTCAGAAATAATACCACATACCTACAACCATCTGATCTTTGACAAACCTGACAAAAACAAGAAATGGGGAAAGGATTCCCAATTTAATAAATGGTGCTGGGAAAACTGACTAGCCATATGGAGAAAGCTGAAACTGGATCCCTTCCTTACACCTTATACAAAAATTAATTCAAGATGGATTAAAGACTTAAATGTTAGACCTAAAACCATAAAAACCCTAGAGGAAAACCTAGGCAATACCATTCAGGACATAGGCATGGGCAAGGACTTCATGTCTAAAACACCAAAAGCAATGGCAACAAAAGCCAAAATTGACAAATGGGATCTAATTAAACTAAACAGCTTCTGCACAGCAAAAGAAACTACCATCAGAGTGAACAGGCAACCTACAGAATGGGAGAAAATTTTTGCAATCTACTCATCTGACAAAGGGCTAATATCCAGAATCTACAAAGAACTCAAACAAACTGACAAGAAAAAAACAATGAACCCCATCAAAAAGTGGGTGAAGGATATGAACAGACGCTTCTCAAAAGAAGACATTTATGCAGCCAACAGACATATGAAAAAATGCTCTTCATCACTGGCCATCAGAGAAATGCAAATCAAAACCACAATGAGATACCATCTCACACCAGTTAGAATGGCAATCATTAAAAAGTCAGGAAACAACAGGTGCTGGAGAGGATGTGGAGAAATAGGAACACTTTTACACTGTTGGTGGGACTG
This sequence comes from Homo sapiens, assembly GCF_000001405.40. Taxonomy (NCBI): domain Eukaryota; kingdom Metazoa; phylum Chordata; class Mammalia; order Primates; family Hominidae; genus Homo; species Homo sapiens. Next base: position 25,360,965 of record NC_000005.10, read on the forward strand.
TAAACTAGTTCAACCATTACAGAAGACAGTGTGGCGATTCCTCAAGGATCTAGAATTAGAAATACCATTTGACCCAGCCATCCCATTACTGGGTATATACCCAAAGGATTATAAATCAAGCTGCTATAAAGACACATGCACACGTATGTTTACTGCGGCACTATTCACAATAGCAAAGACTTGGAACCAACCCAAATGTCCATCAATGATAGACTGGATTAAGAAAATGTGGCACATATACACCATGGAATACTATGCAGCCATAAAAAAAGATGAGTTCGTGTCCTTTGTAGGGACATGGATGAAGCCGGAAACCATCATTCTCAGCAAACTATCACAAGGAGAAAAAACCAAACACTGCATGTTCTCACTGATAGGTGGGAATTGAATGATGAGAACATTTGGACACAGGAAGGGGAGCATCACACACCGGGGACTGTTGTGGGGTTGGGGGAGCGGAAGGGATAGCATTAGGAGATGTACCTAATGTAAATGACGAGTTAATGGGTGCAGCACACCAACATGACACATGTACACATATGTAACAAACCTGCACGTTGTGCACATGTACCCTAGAACTTAAAGTATAATAAGAAAATAAAAATAAATAAAAAAGAATGCAGTCAGAGAAGACAAAATAAAAAAGAACAAAAAGCAATGGAGCATGTTTACAAAATCTGTAAAATAGCGTAAACAGGGAAAATCTAAGAGTTATTGATCTAAAAGAAAAAGACATAGGGATAGAAAATTTATTCAAAAGGATAGTATCAGAGAATTTCCACAAGTTAGACAAAGGTGTCAACATTCAAGAACAAGTTGGTTATAGAACACCAGCAGATTCAGAGAATTCTTCCAGATCTTATTCAGGACCGCCTATGCAGTACATCTGTGAATCTGCAAGAACCACAATGCCTTGATGTAGCCCACAGAAGACCACATCAAGACAGTCATTTCATAATAAAACCCCCAGAAGACAAGGAAAAACAAAGGATCCTAATGGCAGCAAGAGAAAAGAAACAAATACCATAGAATGGAGCTCCAATATGTCCGCTAGTAGACTTTTTAGTGGAACCCTTATAGACAAGAAGAGAGTGATGTGACATATTTTAAGTGCTAAAAGAAAAAAAAGTTTACCCTACAATAGTCTGTCTGGTAAAAAAAAATCTTTTTTTTTGAGATGGAAGTTTCACTCTTGTTTCGCAGGATGGAGTGCAATGTTGTAGTCTCTGCTCACTGCATCCTCTGCCTCCTGGGTTCAAGCAATTCTTCTGCCTCAGCCTCCCAAGTAGCTGGGATTACAGGCAGCCGCCACCATGACTGACTAATTTTTGTATTTTTAGTAGAGATGAGGTTTCACTGTGTTGGCCAGGCTGATCACGAAATCCTGACCTCAGGTGATCTACCTGCCTTGGCCTCCTAAAGTGCGGGGATTACAGGCATGAGCCACCTTACCTGGCCAAATATATTTTTTAAGGGTAAAGGAGAAATATAGACCTTCCCAGATAAACAAAATTTGAGGGATTTTATCAATACCTATCCTGTCTTACAAAAAAATGCTAAAGGGAATTCTTAAACATGAAAGAAAAAGAAGTTAATGAGCAAAAATAAAGAAAAAGAAATTAATGAGCAAAAATAAATAATCTGAAGGTACAAAACTCACTGGTAATAAACAGTAATTACAGAAAAATGCAAACTCTTATAACACTGTAATTGTTGTGTGTAAACTACTCTTAAGTAGAAGGACTAAAAGATGAACCAATCAAAAATAATAACTATGATGGAGGGGTAAATGGTGAATAGGGGGCAGGACTAACTTGCAGCTCCCACTCGGATGGACAGAGCAGCATTTGGAGACCTACATCATGAACTTTTGCTCCAAGAAGTACTGTAGGAACATACCAGGAAAGCCGACAGAATCCACAGGAGATGGGCTGCCACTGCAGGCTCTGTAGGACAGCTGAGGAACTGTGAGTCAGCTTGCTTTCTCAGTTGGGAGGCTTGTAGCCTGGGGCAAGTCTCAGCCCTGCGCACAGGCTGCCGGTAATAAACTTTGTGCTCCTGGGGTCAAGGGAGGCATAGTGGGGGAGTGAGATCAGCCTTTCAAGCTGTGGGCTGCGTGGGAGCTGGGTGAGGCCTGGACATCCAGGCTGCTGGCTTTTCCCCACTTCCCTAGTGACTTGTGTGACACAGCAGAGGCAGCCATAATCCCCTCGGGACCATAACTACATTGACTTGGGAATCACACATCCATCCCCAACACCAGCCACAGCAAGCCCTGCCCAAGGAGAGTCTAAGCTCAGATATGCCTCACCCTGTACCCATCTGATGGTCTTTCTGTACCCACCCTGGTAGCTGAAGACAAAGGACTTAATCTCTTGGGAGCTCTACGGCCCTGCCCATGGCCTGATCCTCCCTATACTAGTGCAGCCAGTGCACTCTTGAAAATGCCACCTCCTGGATGGAGGCCAACGAACACAAAACCAGTGCACTTAACAAAACTACAACCAAGGACACTCACAGAGCCCACTTCATTCTTCTGCTACCTCTCCTGGAACAGATGCTGGTATCCATGGCTGAGAGAACTGAAGATTGATCAAATCATATGACACTCCCTAGTACCAGCTCAGAGCCCAGTAGCTCATATGGATGGCTAGATCCAGAAAAGAAATAACAATTACTGCAGTTTGGCTCTCAGGAAGTTCCATCTCTATGGGAAAGAGGAGAGCACCACATCAAGGGAGAACACCATGGGACAAAATAATCTTAATAGCAGCCCTTGAGTCTCAGATCTTTCCTCTGACATAGTCTATCCAAATGAGAATAAAACAGAAAAACAATTCTGGTAGTATGAAAAAACAAGGTTCTTTAACACCCCCAAATGATCACAGTAGCTCACCAGCAACAAATCCAAATCAAGATAAAAATCTCTGAGTTGCCAAAAAAATGAATTTAGAAAGTCGACTTTTAAGCCAATCAAGAAGCCACTAGAGAAAGGTAAAGTCCAACTTGAAGAAATCAAAAAAGATACAGGATATGAATGAAAAGGTCTCCAATGAAATAGATAGTATAAATAAAAAACAGTCACGACTGCTGGAAATTAAGGACACAGATAATTGTAAAATGCACTGGAAAGTCTCAGCAATAGAATAAAACAAGTAGAAGAAAGAACCTCGGAGTTCTAAGATAAGGCTTTGGAATTAACCAAATTTGAAAAAGACAGAAATAAAAATAAAAAATAGAAAAATAAATGAACAGAGCCTCCAAAAAGTTTGGGATTACGTTAAATAACCAAACCTAAGAACAATTAGTGTTTCCGTTGAAGAAAACAAATCTAAATGTTTGGAAAACATATTTGAGGGAATAATTGAGGAAAACTTCCCCGGCCATGCTGGAGATCTAGACATCCAAATACAAGAAGCTCAAACAACACCTGGGAAATTTATCACAAACTGAACATTGCATAAGTACATAGTCATCAGATAATCTGAAGTCAAGACAAAAGAAAGAATCTTAAGAACTGCGAGGCAAAAGCAACAGGTTACTTATAAAGGAAAATGGATTAACAGTAGATTTCACAGCAGAAACCCTACAACTGAGAAGGGATTAGAATCCTATCTTTATCTTCCTTAAACAAAGCAATTATCAGGAAAAAATTTTGTATCCAGCAAAACTAAGCTTCATAAATGAAGGAAAAATACAGTCTTTTTCAGACAATCAAACGCTGAGAGAATTTGTCACTACCAATTCAGCACTACAAGAACTGCTAAAAGGAGCTCTAAATCTTGAAAAAAAACCTCAGAATACAGAAAAATAGCATCTCCTTTAAGCAGAAATTTCATACAGCCTATAAAACAACAACACAATAAAAAACCCCAAGGTATTCAAGCATCAAATAGCATGATAAAATAATAGTACCTCACATTTTGATACTAATGTTGAATGTAAATGGCCTAAATGCTCCACTTAAAGATATAGAATGGTAGAATTGGTAAGAATTCATCAGCCAAATATCTACCGTCTTTGAAAGACTCAGCTGACACGTAAGGACTCACATAAACATAAGGTAAAGGGGTGGAAAAAACATTCCATGCAAATAGACACCAAAAGCAAGCAGGAGCAGCCATTCTTATATCAGACAAAACAAACTTTAAGGCAACAACAGTTAAAAATGACACAGGGATATTATACAATGATAAAAGGACTAGTCCAAAAGGAACATATCACAATCTTAAATATATATCCACCTAACACTGGAGTTTTCAAATTTAAGAAACAATTACTATTATACCTAAGAAATGAGATAGATAGCAACACAATAACAGTGGAGGACTTTAATACTCCACTGACAGCACTAGACAGGTCATCACAGAAAGTCAACAAAAGAAAATGGACTTAAATTATACACTGGAACAAATGGACTTAACAGATATTTACAGGACATTCTACCCAACAACTGCAAAATATGCATTCTATTCATCAGCACTTAGAACATCTGCAAGGCAGACCATATGATAGGCCACAAAACGTGTCTCAACAAAGTCTTAAAAATCAAAATTATAGCAAGTACTCTCTCAGACCACAGTGGAATAAAATTGGAAATCAACTCCAAAAGGAGCCCTCAAAACCATGCAAATATGTGGAAATTAAATAATCTGCTCCTGAATGATCATTGGGTCAACAATAAAACCAAGATGGAAATTTAAAACAAATTTTGACCTGGATGATAATAGTGATGAAACCTATCAAAACCTCTGGGTTATAGCAAAGGTGGTGCTAAGAAGAAAGTTCACAGTATTAAAGGCCTACATTGAAAAGTCTGAAAAAGCACAAATCAACAATCTAAGATCACACCTCAAGGAGTTGGAAAGCAAGAACAAACCAAACCCAAACCCAGAAGAAGAAAAGAAATAAGAAAGATCAGAGCAGAACTAAATTGTTTTGAAACAACAACCAAAAAAAAAAATGCAAAAGAAACATTAAACAAAAAACTGGTTCTTTGAAAAGATAAATAAACAACTGATACCACAGAAATACAAAAGATTATTCAAGGCTACTATGAACACCTTTATGCACATAAACTAGAAAAGCTAGAGGAGATGGATAAATTTCTGGAAATATAAAACCTTCCTAGATTAAACCAGTAAGAAATAGAAACTCTGAACAGTCCAATAACAAGCGGCAAGATTAAAATAGCAATTAAAAAGTTACCAAGAATAAAAAAGTCCAGAACCAGATGGATTCACAGCTGAATTCTATCAGGCATTCAAAGAAGAATTGGTACTATTCCTATTGACACTATTCCAAGAGACAGAGAAAGAGAAAATTCTCTCTAGATCATTCTATGAAGCCAGTATCACCCTAATACCAAAACCAGGAAAGGACAAAACAACAACAACGAAAACACTACAGACCAATGTCCCTGATACTAGCTAACCAATTCCAACAACATATCAAAAAAACATTCCACTATGATCAAGTGGGTTTTATGCTAGGGAGACAAAGATGGTTTAACATACACAAATAAATGTAATACACCACATAAACCAAATTAAAAACAAAAATCACATGATCATCTAAATAGATGCAACAAAATCATTGGACAAAATGTAGCATCTCTTTATACTTAAAACCCTCAGCAAAATAAGCATAGAAGGGACCTACCTTAAGGTAATAAAAATTATCTATGACAAACCCACAGCCAACATTATACTGAATGGTGAAAAATTGAAAGCATTCACCCAGAGAACTGGAACAAGATAAGGATGCCTACTTTCACCACTTCTATTCAACATAGTACTGGAATTCCTACCCAGAACAATCAGACAAGAGAAAGAAATAAAAGGTATTCAAATTGCTAAAGAGGAAGTCAAACTGTCACTGTTTGCTGATGACATGATAATATTCCTAGAAAACCCTAAAGACACATCCAAAAATCCCCTAGAACTGGTAAATGAATTCAGCAAAGTTTCAGGACACAAAATTAATGTACACAAATTAGTAGCCCTGCAATACAACAACAGTGACCAAGCTGAGAAGCAAATCAAGAACTCAACCCCTTTTACAATAGCTGCAAAAAATAAAATAAAATAAAATACTTGGGAATATACTTAACTAAGGAGATCAAAGACCTCTTTGAGGAAAACTACAAAACATTGCTGAAATAAATCATAGATGCCACAAACAAATGGAAACACATCCCATGCTCATGGATGTGTTCAATCATGTTGTGAAAATGACCAGACTGCTAAAAGCAATTTACAAATTCAATGCAATTCCCATCAAAATACCACCATCATTCTTCACGGAACTAGAAAAAAAATCCTAAAATTTATATGGAACCAAAAAAGACCCCACAAAGCAAGACTAACAAAAAAAAATCTGAAGGCATCACATTACATGACTTCAAACTATACTCTAAGGCTATAGACACCAAAAGAGCATGATAATGATATAAAAACATAGATCATTTTGTGAAACCAGTATCACCCTAATGTCGACCAATGGGGCAGAATAGAGAACCCAGAAATAAAGCCAAATACTTACAGTCAACTTATCTTTGAAAAAGCAAACAAAAACATAAAGCAGGGAAAGGACACCCTATTTAATAAATGGTGATGGGATAATTGGCAAGCCACATGTATAAGAATGAAACTGGATCCTTATCTACCACCTTATACAAAAATCGGCTGAAGATGGATCCAAGTCTTTAAGACCTGAAACCATAAAAATTTTATAAGATAACATTGGAAAGACAATTCTCAAAAGAAGATATGCAAATGGCTAACACACATATAAAAAATTCTCAGCATCACTAATGATCAGAGAAATGAAAATCAAAACCACAATGTGATACCACCTTACTCCTTTAAGAATAGCCATAAGCAATAAAAGATGTTGACATGGATGCGGTAAAAAAGGGAACACATTTATACTGTTAGTGGGAATGTAAACTAGTAAAACCACTGTGGAAAACAGTGTGGAGATTCCTTAAATAACTAAAAGTAGATCTACCATTTGATCTACCAGTCCCACTCTTGGGTATCTACCTAGAGGAAAAGAAGTAATGATAAGAAAAAAATATTTATATATGCATGCTTGTGGCAGCACAATTCACAATTGCAAAATTATGGGAGCAGCCCAAATGCCTAACAATCAATGAGTAGAAAAAGAAAATGTGGTGAATATACATATTTCATATACCATGGAATACTACTCAACCATAAAAAGGAAAAAAACAGGCCGGGCACGGTGGCTCACGCCTGTAAGCCCAGCACTTTGGGAGGCCGAGGCGGGTGGATCATGAGGTCAGGAGATCGAGACCATCCTGGCTAACAAGGTGAAACCCCGTCTCTACTAAAAAATACAAAAAATTAGCCCGGCGCGGTGGCGGGCGCCTGTAGTCCCAGCTACTCGGGAGGCTGAGGCAGGAGAATGGCGTGAACCTGGGAAGCAGAGCTTGCAGTGAGCCAAGATTGCGCCACTGCAGTCCGCAGTCCGGCCTGGGTGACAGAGCGAGACTCCGTCTCAAAAAAAAAAAAAAAAAAAAAAAAAGGAAAAAAACAATGGCCTTTATAGCAACCTGGATGGAATTGGAGATCATTATTCTAAGTGAAGTGACTCAGGAATGGGAAACTAAACATCATATTTTCTCACTCATAAGTGGGAGCTAAGCTTTGAGGACACAGGCATACGAATGATACCATGGGCTTTGGGGACTTGGACAAATGGGTTGAGGGGAGTGAGGAATAAAAGACTACCCATTGGGTATAGTGTACACTGCTCAGGTGATGGGTGCACCAAAATCTCAGAAATCACCACCACAAAACTTCTTTATGTAACCAAACACCTGTTGAAATATTCCCCAAAAACCTATTGAAATAATAATAACTATTATAATAACTACAACAACTTTTCAACATATAGACAGTACGGTAAGACATAAAGAGAAGCAACAAAATGTTAAAAAGTGGAGAGATAAAGTTACAGTATAGAGTTTGTATTAGTCTTTTTGCATGTTTGTTTGCATATGCAATAAGTATTAAGTTTTTATCAGCTTAAAATCATGGGTTATAAGATAATATTTGTGAGCTTCATGGTAACCTCAAATAAAAAAAGCATAAAATGAATACACAAAAATATAAAAAGTAAGAAATCAAATCATACCACCAAAGAAATCACCTTCACTAAAATGAAGACAAAAAGGAAGGAAAGAGGGACGAAGACACCAGAAAACAACAAAATGCTAGAAGTAAGTTCTTACTTATCAATAATAACATTGAATGTAAATGGACTAAACTCTTCAATAAAAAGACATGGAGTAGATGAAGGGATAAAGATAAAAGAGTAATACTCAATGATGTTGCCTAAAAGAAACACACTTCATCTATAAACATACACATGGACTGAAAGAGAAAGAAAACAGATATTTCATGCCAATGGAAACCAAAAAAGTACAGTTGTAGCTATACTTATATCAGACAAAATAGATTTCAAGACAACAACTGTAAGAAGAGGCAAAGAAGGTCACGAGATAATGATAAACGGATAATTTCAGCAAGAGGATACAATTGTAAATATAATATGCATCAAACACTGCAGCATCCAGATATATAAAACACATATTATTAAAGCTACAGAGAGAGAGACAGACCCCAATACAATAATAGCTGGAGACTACAGCACCCAACTTGTAGCGTTTGATCGATTTTTCAGACATAAAATTACTAAAGAAATATCAGGCACAATCTACACCATAGAACAAATTGCCCCAACAGGTATTTACTGAACATTTCATCCAGTGGCTACAGAATACACATAATTCTTAGCACATGAATATTTCTTAAGGATAGAACATGTTGGGTCCCAAAAAATCTTAAAATTTCAAAAATTAAAATAATATCAAGCATCTTCTCTAATCATAATAGAATAAAACTAGAAATTAATAAGAAAATGAATTTTGATAACCATACAAATACATGAAAATTAAACAATGTGCCTCTGAATGACCAGTGAGTCAATGAAGAAATTAAGGGGGAAATTGAAACATTTCTTGAGACAAAGGATAATGGAAACACAACATACCAAAACCTATGGGTTATAATGAAGGCAGAACTAAGGGAAAAATTTATAGCTAAAAATGCCTACATCAAAAAACAAGAAAATTGCCAATAGCCTAATGATATATCTCAAAAAACTAGAAAAGCAAGACTAAACCAAAATCAAAATCAGTAGCAGAATATAAATAATAAAGATCAGAGCAGATATAAATAAATTTGAAATGAAATCAAAAGAAAAGATCAATTAAACTAAGTTTGTTTTTGAAAAGATAAATAAAATTGACAAACTGTAAGCTAAACTAAGTAGAAACAGAAAGAATATCTAAGTAAATAAAATCACGGATGAAAGAAGAGACATTACAACTGGTACCACAGAAATTGAAAGGATCATTAGTGACTACTCTGGGCAACTACATGCCAATAAATTGGAAAATATAGAGGAAGTGGACAAATTCCTAGACACATGCAGCTGACCAAGATTTATCCAAAACCTGAACAGGCCAATGACAAGTAATAAGACTACAGTCATAATAAAAAGACTTCCAGTAATGAAATACCAATACCCAATGGCTTCACTGCTGAATTCTATCAGAAATTTAAAGAACTGATACCAATCCTTCTCAAATTTTAAAAAAAATCAAGGAAGAGAGATTTCTTCCTTACTCATTCTATGAGACCTATATTACCCTGATATAAAAAACAAAGATATATCAAAAAAAAACTACAGACAAACATATTTGATGAATATTGATGCAAAAATTTTCAAAAACATAATAGGAAACTGAATTCAACAATTCATTCAGAAGATCATTATGACCAAGTGGGATTTATCCCAGTGATGCAAGGATGATTCAACATTTGCAAACCAAAGTGATAGATTATATCAACAAAATGACATAATCAACAAAATGACAAAATCTGTATGATCATTTCAAATGACGTTGAAAAAGCATTGATAAAATGCAATATCACTTCATAATAAAAAATCTCAAAACACTGGGGATAGAAGAAATATATGTTAACATAATAAAAGTCATATACAACAGATCCACAGATAGTATTGTACTGAATAGGGCAGAAACGGAAAGACTTTTCTCTTAGATCTGGAACACGACAGGGATGCCTACTTTCACCACTGTTACTAAACATAGTACCAGGAGTCTGAACTAGAGCAATCAGGTAACAGAAATAAATAAAGGGCTTACAAATTTGAAATAAAGAAGTTAAATTATTCTTGTTTGCAGATAATATGATCTTATATTTGGACAAACCTAAAGACTATTAGAAAACCATTAGAACTGATAAAAAAAAAACTCCAGTAAAGTTGTACGATACAAAATCAACATACAAAGGTCAGCAGCATTTCTACATGTCAAGAGTAAACAATCTGCAAAAGAACTAAAAAAGTAATTCCATTTAAAATAGTCACAAATAAAATTAAATTTCTAGAAATTAACTTAAAAAAGTAAAAGATTTCTACAATGAAAACTATAAAACACTGATGGAAAGAAATTGAAGAGGACACACACACACACAAAGAATTTCATGTGTATGGGTTGGAAGAATCAGTATTGTTAAAATGCCCATATTACTTAAATCAATCCACAGACTCAATCCAATCCCTATCAAAATACTAACGATATTTTGTCAAGATATTTAAAAAATACTAAAATTTCTGTGGAACCACAAAAGACCCAGACTAGCCAAAACCATTCTGAGCAAAAAGAAAAAATATGAGAATTTACATGATCTGGCTTAAAATTATACTACAGAGCTATTATAACACAAACAGCATGATATTGGCATAAAAAAAACCCCATAGATCAATGGAACAAAATAGTAACAAATGAACAAAATTGTAACAAATAGAAACAAATCCATACACCTACAGTAAACTCATTTTTGACAAAGATGCCAAGAACATAAATTGGGGAAAAGACAGTATCTTCAATAAATGGTCTTGGGAAAACTGGATATACATATACAGAAGAATGACACTAGACCCTATCTCTCACCATATAGAAAATCAATTCAGCTGGGCATGGTAGGTCATGCCTGTAATCCCAACACTTTGGGAGGCCAAAGCAGGCAGATCACAAGGTCAGGAGTTCAAGAACAGCCTGGCCAACATGGTGAAACCCCGTTTCTACTAAAAATACAAAAATGAGCTGGACGTAGTGATGGGCACCTGTAATCCCAGCTACTCAGGAGGCTGAGGCAGGAGAATCACTTGAACCCGGGAGGTGGAGGTTGCAGTGAGGCAAGATCATTCCACTGCACTCCAGCCTGGGCCACAGAGCAAGATTCCATTGCAAAAAAAAAAAAGAAAAAAGAAAAAAATCTGTATGAACTGGATTAAAGACTTCAATCAAAGACCTCAAACTATGAAAGAATTCCGAGAAAAGATTGGGAAAATTCTCCAGACATTGGTCTCGGCAAAAATTTCTTTGGCAATACTCCACAAGCACAGGCAATCAAAGCAAAAGTGAACAAACAGAATCATACTGCACAGCAAAGGAAATAATCAAGGAAATGAAGAGACAACTCACAGAATGGGAGAAAAAATTTGAAAACTACCTGATGAGGGATTAATTACCAGAATAGATAAGCACCTCAAACAACTCTGCATGAAAAAAATCTAATAAACTGATGAAAAAATGACCAAAAGATCTGAATAGACATTTCTCAAAAGAAGACATGCAAATGTCATACAAGTATATGAAAAATTGATCAACATCATTTATCGTCAGAGAAATGCTAATCAAAACTACAATGTAATATCACCTCACCAGACAATAACATGCTGGTGAGGATGTAGAGAAAAGGGAACAATTTTACACTGTTGTTGGGAATGTAAAGTAATACAACCACGGTGGAAAACAGTTTAGAGGTTACTCAAAAAAAACCCAAAAAATAGCTGCAATACAATCCAGCAAATCCACTGCTGGGTATATACCTAAAAGAAAGGAAATCAGTACATGGAGGAGACGTCTGTACTCTCATGCATGTCGCAGCACTGTCCACAATAGCCAAGGTTTGGAAGCAACCTAAGGGTCCATCAACAGATTAGTGGATAAAGAAAATGTGATACACATATACAATGGAGTATTATTTAGCCATACAAAAGAATGACACTCTGTAGTTGGCAACAACAAGGATGGATCTGGGATCATTATGTTAAGTGAAATAAGCCAGGCACAGAAAGACAAAATTTGCATATTCTCACATTTGTTTGTGCTAAAAATTAAAACAATTGAACTCATGGAGATAGAAAATGGAAGGATGGTAACTAGAGGCTGTGAAGGGTCATACAGGGGTTGAGGGGAAGTGAGGATGATTAATGGTTATAAAAAGTAGTTTAGAATGAGTAAAACCTAGTTTTTGATAGCACAGCAGGGTGACTATAGTCAGTAAAAATTTAATTGTACATCTTAAGATAACTAAATGAGTATAATTCAAATGTTTATAACACAAAGGATAAATGCGTGAGGAAATGGATACCCATTTACCATGATGTAATTATTATGCATTGCATGGTTACAGCAAAGTATCTCATGTACCCCTTAAATATATACACCTACTGGCCGGGAGCGGTGGGTCACGCCTGTAATCCCAGCGCTTTGCGAGGCCGAGGCGGGCGGATCACGAGGTCAGGAGATTGAGACCGTCCTGGCTAACACAGTGAAACTCCGTCTCTACTACAAATACAAAAAAAAAAAAAAAAATTAACCAGGCGTGGTTGCAGTTTCCTGTAGAACCAGCTACTAGGGAGACTGAGGCAGGAGAATGGCCTGAACCCGGGAGGCGGAGCTTGCAGTGAGCCCAGATCGCGCCACTGCACTCCAGCCTGGGCGACAGAGCGAGACTCCGTCTGAAAAAATAAATAAATATACCTACTATATACCAACAATTCTTTAAAAAAAAATTTCCATTTTGCATCCTTAAAATTGTTCTCAGAAAAAAAATGCATAATTATGCTCATCACAGTTATATTAATAAAATGTAAATAATTTATAAAATGTAAGCAAATTAAATATGATTTAACTAAATTTTAAGTGTTTAAAATTCTAAAAGCATTCCCTTCAAAATATGAAGAAAAATTGGGCAAATAAATTAAATATATAAAGACCAGTAGCACTAAAGTTAATTTTTAAAATTTATATAAATGGAAAACAAATTTACATGGACATGAAAGAGTACAGAGACAATATTAAGAGTGCTTGTTTTTAGATAGATGCCATTATTTTTCCCTGCAATTTCAAAGTTTTGTATGAAGAGCAAAAGTTTCCATAAAAAAGAAAATAAAACATATTACACTAATATGTGTGTATGTGAAAAAATAAAATGCTCACCATTATTACTGTTTAGATCTTTCCTAAATAAATAACTTTTTAAAGCTAGAGAGAATTTACTGTATTAGCAACGTTTGTTTAGCCTTTCACAGACTTTTTTTTTCTAATAAGTACATTTTATGCATAGGCTAAAAATAGTACCAAAAATATTTTATTTGCTTAATTGTAATATTGAGCATGATAATTTTTATAGAAGGTTATTTTGTTAATTTTGTGTATTATCCTATATATGTTAACTATCGAATTCATAGAATGATAAACTATTTTAGCTGATAAAATGAGATATTTCAAAATTAAAAAGCAGTAGGTACTCACTGAGCATTTGATACAATGTCACAGAGATCACCTGTGGTAAACAAGATAGTACCCTCGTCTGAAGATGTTCACGTTATTGTCTCTAGAACTGGTTGACATGTTACCTTACAAAGCAAAAGGTACATTGCAGATGTTATTTAATTAAAAAATCATTAAATTGTGGAGTTGGGGAGATTATTTTGGATGATTTAGGTAGTTAATCTAATTACAAGGATGTGTATAAGAGGAGGTAGGAGGATTTGAATTAGACTAGGGGATGTGAAGTGAAGACAGAAGCAGAGGTCAGATTGAGGGGGGATCACCAGCCAAAGAATGTGCTAGCCTCTGAAAAGGAAAAGAAACACATCCTCCCTTAGGGTCTCCAGAGGCAACACAGCCCTACTGACACCTTGATTTTAGCTTTGTAAGTTCCACTTCAGACTTCTGACTTACAGAACTCAATGGAAATAAATGTGTGTTGTTTTAAGCCATTAAGTTTAAGGTGTTACAGCAGCAATGGGAAACTAATACATCCATATTATATCTATATTAAAAATATTTTATTTTCATTTTTAAGATTTCATCTTTTATTTTTGATTCAGGAGTTACATGTGCAGGTTTGTTAAGTGGATATATTTTAAAGTGCTGAGGTTTGGTGTACAATTGATCCTGTCACCCAAGTAGTGAGCATAGTACCCAGGACATTTTCAATCCTTCCCCCTGTCCCCCTATTAGTCCTCAGTGTCTATTGTTGCCATCTTTTATGTCTGTGAGAACCCATTGTTTAGCTTCTTATGTTCACTTATAAGCAAGAACCTGTAGTATATGGCTTTCTGTTCCTGCATTAATTCCCTTAAGATAATGGCTTACAGCTGCATCCATGTTACTACAAAGGAAATGATTTCATTTTTAGGGCTGTATAATATTCCATGATACAGAGTTTTTAAAACAACCTCTTTACTTAAAAAGCATTAAATGTCAGCAAAAGAACCTGAAATGTTTGTATATGTGATGTTTAATTTCTCCATTTCATGTTGTCTGTGTCTTTTGAATACTGTAAGTTATCTTGCTTCATAAAATTTTTTAAAAGCCAACAATTAATTGATAGAATCCAAAAGGAAACACTCAAAAGCATTACCAGTAAAAGAAAATAATTGAAAGTTTTTAACACATTTCATTTTATGATGAATTATAAATCTCACAACATATGGTAATTGGCTTGTCTTGGAATTATTTTTTAAAATATGCACTTTTCTAAAAAGTATAACTTCTTGAGCTGTCATTTTAAATAAATTCACACTTTTCAAGCCTATTTGTTTCTACCTACTGCATCTGATTATGGTGTCTTCCCCCCAGCTACATTTACACAGTCTGTGTGGGCTCATCCATAAACAAAAACAGGTGGCTTCAGTCGGTGATGGGACCAGTGAATGGTTGTTCATATATCCTTATTTTCTGTGTCAAATTTGTGTAGTTCTCACCAGCAAGGCCCAGCTCCTATAGCAAAATAAACATTCATATGACCTTAACTGCAAATGACGTTGTCTATATTTTCAACTTCCTCTGCATCAGCTCAAGTTTAGTTTCCTATATTCAAAAAATAACTTCCTGAAAGCTTTTCCATTTAATACAAAGAGAATGCAGAACAAATAGAAACACAGAACTTCAAATGAAAATCCTTATTGAAGAAAGGTTAATTAAATGAATGCTAAATTTATATAAGCTTGTTAGGAATGGTATTTTGAAGGATATTTTTAAAATTATAACTAAACAGAAGGCAACCAACGGAAAGATAAAATTGGGAAGAAAACTATTCCTTTTATGATAGCATTGGCAGCACCTATCACAAGCATATTTTCATCTTTATTTTGGAAAATGTATTGTTTTTCAAAATGCCACTGAGAGTTGCTGAGATAATTTTGCTGAGTAAATATTTTTATTCTACAAGTGGTATTAAAAATAGAAATAATTATATGGCACCATAATACAAAGTTAGAAAAGGGAAGAAAAGTTTTACAGCAGTTTTTAAATTACAAGATAACACTAATCAAAGGTGATGATAAGATTGAGGTAAATTTGGTAATAAAAATATATGTGGAACATTGTAACACCAGTGAGTTGCTATCACAATTTACTGTATTTTCCATCATTAACTGTTAAAATGGTGTTCAATAAAGTTCCGTTGATGTTTATTTTAAAATTGCAAGATTTTTTAATCTCAAAAAATGCCATGTATTTATTTTACAAAATGCAAAAAAGGATTGTCAGAGAGAAATTTAAAATTTCCCAAATTTAGTCAACAGAAGATAATTATTGTTGTAATGAGCTGTTCATTATTCCAGATAATTTTTGTACATAGATTTTAGCTTCCCTTTCACATATGTTCCCACTGCCTCTTTTATTTTTATTTTTCTTGTTGAAGCAATTACTTTAGTAATCCTTGGCAGGTATGATCTATGAGTACTTCAATTCTTACACCACTTTGGAATACTTAGGTTTCTTTAAGTAGCATACAATAGGAAAGTCAACTAAAGATGGCTTTAACAATTCCAACATTTATTTTCTCAAATTATAAGAAGCCCAAAGGCAAGTTATATTCAGGTTTGCTTAATTTAGTAAGTCAGTGCTGTTAATAAGGGCCCAGCATTTTTCCATCTTCTATGCCATCCACAGTGCCATGAAGCTGAGTTTAGTATTGTGCCTTCCTTTACCGCCAAGAAATAACTAGGAGCTTTAAGGTTCCTGTTCTCACACATACCATCAAGAGTATGAAACAGGAATTGAGACTATCTTTTTAATTTTACTAGGACACCCGCAGAAGGCCTCCCTTTAGGACAGGTGGCTCAGAATCATGTCATATGCTCATCCTCGGAGTCTCTCTCCATCGCCCAGGCTGGAGTGCAGTGGTACGATCTCACCTCACTGCAACCTCCGCCTCTCGGGTTCAAGGGATTCTCCTGTCTCAGCCTCCAGAGTAGCTGAGACTGCAGGTGCATGCTACGATGCCACTGTGCCTGGCTAATTTTTTTTTTTATTTTTTTAGTAGAGACGGGGCTTTCACCTTGTTAGTCAGGCTGGTCTTGAACTCCCGACCTCAGGTGATCCACCTGCTCGGCCTCCCAAAGTGCTGGGATTACAGGTGTGAGCCACTGCACCCAGCCCATATGCTCATTCTTAATACAATCATTTGACAAAGGGAATGACTCTTATACAATTGCCTTAGGGTGTAGGATATCCATCGCTTGGAGTTGAGGGATTGCCTTCCCAACATCTCAGGAACGATAACACCATTCAAAGGATATTGTTATGTACTAAAAATAGGTAATGCTTTTGGTGAAGGCAACAGTTAGTATACGCCAGATTCTCAAGTGATACTTTACCTGAATCTTTCAGCTGCTTTATTCCATTTTCTTCTGTTGTGTTTTGCTTCTTTTGACAATGTTGTTGATATAATTGTCTCCTCACAAGTTATTTGCCTGTTCCCTGTTAGTTTTAGAAGATTTTTCTTTAGCTATGGTATTTTGCAGTCATGCTATATGTTTAGGTGTTATTTTTTCTCCTGCTATGTGTTGCATAAGTGGCGTTTTCAATCTATAGACTCATTTCTTTCCTGTTTTGGATAATAAATGCAATTTTTTTCTCAGGAACATTTTTCCCTTCACACATTGCTATTCCACGTAGGTTGGCACTTTATGATTAATTGTTGATGTTTCTAAATTCTTCATATATTGCATCTCCTTATTAATCTCTATTAATTCTGACATATTTCCTCAGAGCTTTCTTCTAATTCAAAATGTTTTCTCACTAATGACTGATCCATTCTTTTAACTGTCTGTGGGATGTTAGGTATGTTTTTCTTTTCTTTTTTTTTTTTTTATTATACTTTAAGTTTTAGGGTACATGTGCACAATGTGCAGGTTAGTTACATATGTATACATGTGCCATGCTGGTGCACTGCACCCACTAACTCGTCATCTAGCATTAGGTATATCTCCCAGTGCTATCCCTCCCCCCTCCCCCCACCCCACCACAGTCCCCAGAGTGTGATATTCCCCTTCCTGTGTCCATGTGATCTCATTGTTCAATTCCCACCTATGAGTGAGAATATGCGGTGTTTGGTTTTTTATTCTTGCGATAGTTTACTGAGAATGATGGTTTCCAATTTCATCCATGTCCCTAATAAGAACATGAACTCATCATTTCTTATGGCTGCATAGTATTCCATGGTGTATATGTGCCACATTTTCTTAATCCAGTATCTCATTGTTGGACATTTGGGTTGGTTCCAAGTCTTTGCCATTGTGAATAATCCTGCAATAAACATACGTGTGCATGTGTCTTTATAGCAGCATGATTTATAGTCCTTTGGGTATATACCCAGTAATGGGATGGCTGGGTCAAATGGTATTTCCAGTTCTAGATCCCTGAGGAATGGCCACGCTGACTTCCACAATGGTTGAACTAGTTTACAGTCCCACCAACAGTGTAAAAGTGTTCCTATTTCTCCACATCCTCTCCAGCACCTGTTGTTTCCTGACTTTTTAATGATTGCCATTCTAACTGGTGTGAGATGGTATCTCATTGTGGTTTTGATTTGCATTTCTCTGATGGCCAGTGATGATGAGCATTTTTTCATGTGTTTTCTGGCTGCATAAATGTCTTCTTTTGAGATGTGTCTGTTCATGTCCTTCGCCCACTTTTTGATGGGGTTGTTTGTTTTTTTCTTGTAAATTTGTTGGAGTTCATTGTAGATTCTGGATATTAGCCCTTTGTCAGATGAGTAGGTTGTGAAAATTTTCTCCCATTTTGTAGGTTGCCTGTTCACTCTGATGGTAGTTTCTTCTGCTGTGCAGAAGCTCTTTAGTTTAATTAGATCCCATTTGTCAATTTTGGCTTTTGTTGCCATTGCTTTTGGTGTTTTGGACATGAAGTCCTTGCCCATGCCTATGTCCTGAATGGTAATGCCTAGGTTTTCTTCCAGGGTTTTTATGGTTTTAGGTCTAACGTTTAAGTCTTTAATCCATCTTGAATTGATTTTTGTATAAGGTGTAAGGAAGGGATCCAGTTTCAGCTTTCTACATATGGCTAGCCAGTTTTCCCAGCACCATTTATTAAATAGGGAATCTTTCCCCATTGCTTGTTTTTCTCAGGTTTGTCAAAGATCAGATAGTTGTAGATATGTGACATTATTTCTGAGGGCTCTGTTCTGTTCCATTGATCTATATCTCTGTTTTGGTACCAGTACCATGCTGTTTTGGTTACTGTAGGCTTGTAGTATGGTTTGAAGTCAGGTACTGTGATGCCTCCAGCTTTGTCCTTTTGGCTTAGGATTGACTTGGCAATGCGGGCTCTTTTTTGGTTCCATATGAACTTTAAAGTAGTTTTTTGCAATTCTGTGAAGAAAGGCATTGGTAGCTTGATGGGGATGGCACTGAATCTGTAAATTACCTTGGGCATTATGGCCATTTTCAGGATATTGATTCTTCCTACCCATGAGCATGGAATGTTCTTCCATTTGTTTGTATCCTCTTTTATTTCCTTGAGCAGTGGTTTGTAGTTCTCCTTGAAGAGGTCCTTCACATCCCTTGTAAGTTGGATTCCTAGGTATTTTATTCTCTTTGAAGCAATTGTGAATGGGAGTTCACTCATGATTTGGCTCTCTGTTTGTCTGTTGTTGGTGTATAAGAATGCTTGTGATTTTTGTACATTGATTTTGTATCCTGAGACTTCGCTGAAATTGCTTATCAGCTTAAGGAGATTTTGGGCTGAGACAATGGGGTTTTCTAGATATACAATCATGTCATCTGCAAACAGGGACAATTTGACTTCATCTTTTCCTAATTGAATACCCTTGATTTCCTTCTCCTGCCTAATTGCCCTGGCCAGAACTTCCAACACTATGTTGAATAGGAGTGGTGAGAGAGGGCATCCCTGTCTTGTGCCAGTTTTCAAAGGGAATGCTTCCAGTTTTTGCCCATTCAGTATGATATTGGCTATGGGTTTGTCATAGATAGCTCTTATGATTTTGAAATACGTCCCATCAATACCTAATTTATTGAGAGTTTTTAGCATGAAGGGTTGTTGAATTTTGTCAAAGGCTTTTTCTGCATCTATTGAGATAATCATGTGGTTTTTGTCTTTGGCTCTGTTTATATGCTGGATTACATTTATTGATTTGCATATATTGAACCAGCCTTGCATCCCAGGGATGAAGCCCACTTGATCATGGTGCATAAGCTTTTTGATGTGCTTCTGGATTCGTTTTGCCAGTATTTTATTGAGGATTTTTGCATCAATGTTCATCAAGGATATTGGTCTAAAATTCTGTTTTTTTGTTGTGCCTCTGCCAGGCTTTGGTATCAGGATGATGCTGGCCTCATAAAATGAGTTAGGGAGGATTCCCTCTTTTTCTATTGATTGGAATAGTTTCAGAAGGAATGGTACCATTTCCTCCTTGTACCTCTGGTAGAATTCAGCTGTGAATCCATCTGGTCCTGGGCTCTTTTTTTGTTGGTAAGGTATTGATTATTGCCACAATTTCAGATCCTGTTATTGGTCTATTCAGAGATTCAACTTCTTCCTGGTTTAGTCTTGGGAGAGTGTACATGTCGAGGAATTTATCCATTTCTTCTAGATTTTCTAGTTTATTTGCGTAGACGTGTTTGTAGTAATCTCTGATGGTAGTTTGTATTTCTGTGGGATCAGTGGTGATATCCCCTTTATCATTTTTTATTGCATCTATTAGATTCTTCTCTCTTTTTTTCTTTATTAGTCTTGCTAGCAGTCTATCAATTTTGTTGATCCTTTCAAAAAACCAGCTCCTGGATTCATTAATTTTTTGAAGGGTTTTTTGTGTCTCTATTTCCTTCAGTTCTGCTCTCATTTTAGTTATTTCTTGCCTTCTGCTAGCTTTTGAATGTGTTTGCTCTTGCTTTTCTAGTTCTTTTAATTGTGATGTTAGGGTGTCAATTTTGGATCTTTCCTGCTTTCTCTTGTGGGCATTTAGTGCTATAAATTTCCCTCTACACACTGCTTTGAATGCGTCCCAGAGTTTCTGGTATGTTGTGTCTTTGTTCTCATTGGTTTCAAAGAACATCTTTATTTCTGCCTTCATTTCGTTATGTACCCAGTAGTCATTCAGGAGCAGGTTGTTCAGTTTCCATGTAGTTGAGCAGTTTTGAGTGAGATTCTTAATCCTGAGTTCTAGTTTGATTGCACTGTGGTCTGAGAGATAGTTTGTTATAATTTCTGTTCTTTTACATTTGCTGAGGAGAGCTTTACTTCCAAGTATGTGGTCAATTTTGGAATAGGTGTGGTGCTGAAAAAAATGTATATTCTGTTGATTTGGGGTGGAGAGTTCTGTAGATGTCTATTAGGTCTGCTTGGTGCAGAGCTGAGTTCAATTCCTGGGTATCCTTGTTGACTTTCTGTCTTGTTGATCTGTCGAATGTTGACAGTGGGGTGTTAAAGTCTCCCATTATTAATGTGTGGGAGTCTAAGTCTTTTTGTAGGTCACTCAGGACTTGCTTTGTGAATCTTGGTGCTCCTGTATTGGGTGCATATATATTTAGGATAGTTAGCTCTTCTTGTTGAATTGATCTCTTTACCATTATGTAATGGCCTTCTTTGTCTCTTTTGATCTTTGTTGGTTTAAAGTCTGTTTTATCAGAGACTAGGATTGCAACCCCTGCCTTTTTTTTGTTTTCCATTTGCTTGGTAGATCTTCCTCCATCCTTTTATTTTGAGCCTATGTGTGTCTGTGCACGTGAGATGGGTTTCCTGAATATGGCACACTGATGGGTCTTGACTCTTTATCCAATTTGCCAGTCTGTGTCTTTTAATTGGAGCATTTACTCCATTTACATTTAAAGTTAATATTGTTATGTGTGAATTTGATCCTATCATTATGATGTTAGCTGGTGATTTTGCTCATTAGTTGATGCAGTTTCTTCCTGGTCTCGATGGTCTTTACATTTTGGCATGATTTTGCAGCGGCTGGTACTGGTTGTTCCTTTCCATGTTTAGCGCTTCCTTCAGGAGCTCTTTTAGGGCAGGCCTGGTGGTGACAAAATCTCTCAGCATTTGCTTGTCTGTAAAGTATTTTATTTCTCCTTCACTTATGAAGCTTAGTTTGGCTGGATATGAAAATCTGGTTTGAAAAATTCTTTTATTTAAGAATGTTGAATATTGGCCCCCACTCTCTTCTGGCTTGTAGGGTTTCTGCCGAGAGATCCGCTGTTAGTCTGATGGGCTTCCCTTTGAGGGTAACCCGACCATTCTCTCTGGCTGCCCTTAACATTTTTTCCTTCATTTCAACTTTGGTGAATCTGACAATTATGTGTCTTGGAGTTGCTCTTCTCGAGGAGTATCTTTGTGGCGTTCTCTGTATTTCCTGAATCTGAACGTTGGCCTGCCTTGCTAGATTGGGGAAGTTCTCCTGGATAATATCCTGCAGAGTGTTTTCCAACTTGGTTCCATTCTCCCCATCACTTTCAGGTACACCAATCAGACATAGATTTGGTCTTTTCACATAGTCCCATATTTCTTGGAGGCTTTGCTCATTTCTTTTTATTCTTTTTTCTCTAAACTTCCCTTCTCGCTTCATTTCATTCATTTCATCTTCCATCGCTGATACCCTTTCTTCCAGTTGATCGCATCAGCTCCTGAGGCTTCTGCATTCTTCACATAGTTCTCGAGCCTTGGTTTTCAGCTCCATCAGCTCCTTTAAGCACTTCTCTGTATTGGTTATTCTAGTTATACATTCTTCTAAATTTTTTTCAAAGTTTTCAACTTCTTTGCCTTTGGTTTGAATGTCCTCCCATAGCTCAGAGTAATTTGATCGTCTGAAGCCTTCTTCTCTCAGCTCGTCAAAGTCATTCTCCACCCAGCTTTGTTCTGTTGCTGGTGAGGAACTGCGTTCCTTTGGAGGAGGAGAGGCGTTCTGCTTTTTAGAGTTTCCAGTTTTTCTGTTCTGTTTTTTCCCCATCTTTGTGGTTTTATCTACTTTTGGTCTTTGATGATGGTGATGTACAGATGGGTTTTTGGTGTGGATGTCCTTTCTGTTTGTTAGTTTTCCTTCTAACAGACAGGACCCTCAGCTGCAGGTCTGTTGGAATACCCTGCCGTGTGAGGTGTCAGTGTGCCCCTGCTGGGGGGTGCCTCCCAGTTAGGCTGCTCAGGGGTCAGGGGTCAGGGACCCACTTGAGGAGGCAGTCTGCCCGTTCTCAGATCTCCAGCTGTGTGCTGGGAGAACCACTGCTCTCTTCAAAGCTGTCAGACAGGGACATTTAAGTCTGCAGAGGTTACTGCTGTCTTTTTGTTTGTCTGTGCCCTGCCCCCAGAGGGGGAGCCTACAGAGGCAGGCAGGCCTCCTTGAGCTGCGGTGGGCTCCACCCAGTTCGAGCTTCCCAGCTGCTTTGTTTACCTAATCAAGCCTGGGCAATGGCGGGCGCCCCTCCCCCAGCCTCGTTGCCGCCTTGCAGTTTGATCTCAGACTGCTGTGCTAGCAATCAGCGAGACTCCGTGGGCGTAGGACCCTCCGAGCCAGGGGCGGGATATAATCTCGTGGTGCGCCGTTTTTTAAGCCCCTCAGAAAAGCGCAGTATTCGGGTGGGAGTGACCAGATTTTCCAGGTGCGTCCGTCACCCCTTTCTTTGACTAGGAAAAGGAACTCCCTGACCCCTTGCGCTTCCCAAGTGAGGCAATGCCTCGCCCTGCTTCGGCTCGCGCACGGTGCGCTGCACCCACTGACCTGCGCCCACTGTCTGGCACTCCCTAGAGAGATGAACCCGGTACCTCAGATGGAAATGCAGAAATCACCGTCTTCTGCGTCGCTCACGCTGGGAGATGTAGACCAGAGCTGTTCCTATTCGGCCATCTTGGCTCCTCCCAGGTATGTTTTTATTTTCATGATGTCTAAATTATCTCTTTTTCTCCCTACTTGTTTTATTTTTGATCAGTATTATCCTCTCCCAATTTCTAGGGTATTTCAAATGTGTTTATTTTGAAGTCTTTTGTATTTGCTCTTTTCTTTATTCCCTTTCCTTGAATATGAACTCCTCTACTTCTGGAATCCATTGAGAACATGCAACCATGTTCAACTTTCTTGTGTGCCTCTGACCACTATGGCCTTAATGTTCTCCTCAACTTGACTAAACTTCAGACAAGCCCCTTCCTGATTCTAGAGCTCCTTTATCTGAGAGCTTTTATTTTATAAAATTTGTAATTGCAAATTCTTTTTTTGCTTCTTAGAGATGTAATTTTTTTTAACTAGTATTTTAGGTTCAGGGGTACATGTGCAGGTTTGTTACATAGGTAAACTTATGGGGGTTTGTTGTACAGATTATTTCATCACCCATGTATTAAGTCCAGTACCCTATAGTTATTTTTTCTGCTCCTCTCCTCCTCCCACCCTCTACCCTCAAGTAGATCCCAGTGTCTGTTATTTCCTTCTTTGTGTTACAAGTTCTCATCATTTAGCTCCCACTTATAAGAAAAAAACATGTAGTATTTGGTTTTCTGTTTCTGCATTAGTTTGCTGGGGATAATAGCCTCCAGCTCCACCCATGTTCCCTCAAAAGACATGATCTTGTTCTTTTTTATGGGTCCATAATATTCCATGGTGTATATGTACCACATTTTCTTTATGCAGTCTACCAATGATGGACATTTAGGTTGATCCTATGTCGTTGCTATTGTGACTAGTGCTGCAATGAACATTCACATGCACGTGTCTTTATCACAGAATGCATATCTTTCTTTTTTTATGGCTGCATAATATTCCATGGTGTATATGTACCACATTTTCTTTATGCAGTCTACCAGTGATGGGCATTTAGATTGATTCTATGTCTTTGCTATTGTGAATAATGCTGCAATGAACATTCACATGCATGTGTCATATGGTAGAATACAGCATATATCTATATTCCTCTGGATATATACCCAGTAATGGGATTGTTGAATCAAATGGTAGTTCTGCTTTTAACTCTTGGAGGAATCACCATACTGCTTTCCACAATGGTTAAACTCATTTACACCTACCACTAACAGTGTATAAGTGTTCTCTTTTGTCGGCAACCTTGCCAGCATCTGTTAGTTTTTGACTTTTTAGTAATAGCCATTCTGACTGGTGTGAGATGGTATCTCATTGTGGTTTTGATTTCCATTTCTCTAATAATATGTGATATTGAGCTTTTTTCTATAGGCATTTTGCTCATGTGCGTGCCTTCTTTAGAAAACTGTCTGTTCATGTCATTTGCCCACTTTCTAATAAGGGTGTTTATTTTTCTCTTTTAAATTTGTTCAACTTTCTTATAGATGCTCAATATTAGACCTTTGTCTAGATACATAGGCAGCACAATTTTTTCTCATTTCTGTAGGTCGTCTATTTATTCTGTTGGTAAATTACTTCTTTGCTTCTTAGAGATGTAATCCTTTTCAAAGTCTCTTGCTGGTATTACAACCTAGGAATGCCTTTCTCTAGGACCTGGAATTCATGCCTTTGAAATGTAATCATCAAGAAAGATAATGCCTCTATTTGGCAGTCTCTCTGTAGAAGGATATGAGTCTAATTTCACTGGAGTTCATTGTAAACTTACCTTCTGTAAAATTAACTTCTCTAGTGAAGATATGAGGAAGTTTACTTCCCTTTGGTTAACGGCAATTAGCATACACAAGCGGCCTCTAATCTCCCTACCCCAGCACCTGAAACATTTCCAGTCTTTTGTTTCAAAGTATTTCAGGTCAGACTGAGTTCTGGCCTCTCCCCTATTGCACAGTCTCAACTAAAGTCTTCTTTGCCTATTTAACTTTGAGGCAATTTGGCTTTGAAACCTCCTAATTCTAGGTTAAATTGTGTCTCCTATGATTGCCTTTTTTACTTCTGCCTATTTTCTGGGGACATGTTTTGTGTTTGCTTCCAATTGCTACAAAGCAATATAAGTTTTCTCATCAATTCCTCTGCTTATTGTTCAGTTTAACGATTTTACCCTAACAAATACCCAGCTGGGGCTTAAAATTCATGGACACTGTATGTTTGAATTATGTTTGTTGGGTAATTTTGCCTTTACTCCAGTCTTTAACAGCTTGTTATTGGTTACATTGAATAGTTTATATCTGGACCTGTCAGTGCAAATGCTGCATATTATCAGCTACCATTTATAATTGTGAATTCTGGTCAAGTGGAGATTGCTTTTTAAAATTTGTGTAGGATCTATCTCTCTGTCTCTCCCACACTTTATATTTTTCTCAGAGATAGATTTTTAAAAAGTATGTTTTATTCAATATATTGACAAGAGTAGTTGATTCTGGTGGATATCTATCTGATATCAATCCCCCTCCACTTCTCATTCAGAGGGCCCCAATTTTCTTTAGGACATGTGCAGTGATAAATATAAATTTGTCTACATTCCCACACTGATAGTGGTGTCCATGCAACAGAATTCTAGCCAATAAAATTTTGAAGTAAATCTCTGTGTAAGGCAACCCTTCACAAATGAAAAGGCAAAATATTAGAAAGAAACATCCCCTTTGACTCATTTAGCCTTTTTCTTCTTTCTACTTGAAACACAGTCTTAATCTTTGGATGTGGTACAACAAGAACAACAAAAACAAACAAACTGAAGCAAAACAAAACAAAAACCATGATACGGATGGCTAAACAGGAACAAATTAGGAGCATAGGTCATCAATAACATCCTCCAGCACAAACATTACACAGTCCCCAGAAAGGTAATCGCCCGAGGTTGGTTTAAAGTGTGGATAATGAGAATGAATGAATTTTCCCAGAAGAAAGATCCATGAAACATGCAGTAAAATGGGGCTTGAAAATTCTCCTAGAAAAATGAACTAGGGACAGAATAATTGACTAACTAGGTAACATCCTCTACTTACAGGAGTGTGTTGTCTTTCCAATTAACAACCAGCAGAATTTGTTATGTGTCCTCAACCAGTGACTGCTATAGGTTTCATATTCTCTCCTTGTCAGGATGGGGCTTTAATCACAGCTATTCATTCTTTCTCTGTCAGTGTATGTTGGTTTTTTTAGAAGCATATAACATATGTTTTAGTGATTTTAAATGGCAAGGCCATGAGGAGTTACCTTGGGACCAATGAAGAATGAAATACAAACCCAAAGAGTTAGGTCCACAAGATCAATGCAGTAATTGCATGTGATCTGGGGCTTCTCCCTGGGAGAACAGCTGAGTGTCATCACTGTAGAGGTGTGTGTGAATGTATGGTAGTTAGCCAAAGAGACGGTGTGTTGTATATGCTGTTATTTGCCTACCTAATAACCAATCCTACTACTTCTGTAATAAAATCAGTCTAATTCTGTTAGAGGTAGCAATGTACCTAGCTAAAACTATTCACATTGCCTACTCTCTTCTACTTAGGAATGTTCAAATGACATAGCCCTTCCAATGAACTACCTCTCAATCAGGAAAGCAAATACTCAATGAATATTCAACAACAAAGAATTTTCTACAGAAACTAGACTGTCTAAGTGTAAACGTTCAGAAACAATAAGTGGAATGTCACTAGCCAACTTCAGTGCAGATGAACAAGCTGGAGTTTGCAGAAGGCCAGGCTATTCCAGCAGCCACAATACAATTGTAGAGGGGGCTGCTGGTAATGCCCATGGGAGATTGCTGGCTGTATGAATTCAAAGCATGTTCCCAGTGGTGGGCTTGGGGTCACAACTGATCTTCATGGATGGCAATTGATCAGAAGTTATAGACATGGGAAGGTGAATAAGATGTTCAATGGTGAACAGAATGTACAATCTGACAGCTACCTTCCTTTCTCCCTCTAACCAGTTATGACTTTCTTAATGTGGCAGTTGCTGCTAGATATTTTCTTATCAAATCTTTTGCAGATTTTATTTTTTATTTATTTATTTTTTAAGTTCAAATTTGTAACAATTATTTAATTATAAGGTAATTTAGTAAGAATGATGCTGTTTTGAATGACACAAAAATTTTAAATTAGGGCTTAAAGAAGACAGTTTTAGCTATGTGATCATTTTCCTTTCAACTTGCTGCAGTTCAATTGCACATTTTATTTATAGCTAATTCTAAATTGAAAATATTGAAGAATAAAATCTGGTTATATTTTACTAAAGTGACACATTACATAACCATAGTCTACTCTTCTCTAAAAATAGACAAATTCTCGCTAAAGAAAAGGTTTTGTCCTCCTCCATATCTGCCCAAAATTCATCCAACCCCACCCCTCATACCTGAGCATAAGAAGCAACACCTGGATTAGTAGAACAATATCTTGCATCCAGTGGTCTTTTTGGCACCAGAGATCAGTTTCATGGAAGGTAATTTTTCCATGGATGGGGTGGGCGATATGGTTTCAGGATGATTTAAGCACATTACATGTATTGCGCACTTTATTTATATTACATACTCACCATAATGCAGAATCAGTGGGCCCTGAGTTTGTTTTCCTGCAACTAGACGGTCCCATCTAAAGGTGATGCAAGTCAGTGACAAATAATCAGGCATTAGATCCTCAAAAGGAGCATGCAACTTACATCCCCCACATGCACAGTTCACAACAGGATTTGCACACCTATGAGAATCTAACGCCACCACTGATCTGATAGGAGACTCAGCTCAGGTTTGCCTGCTCACCTGCTGCTCACCTCCTGCTATGCGGACCGGGCATTTGGGGACCAATGCATTAGATGACAGTCACATGGCAGAAGAAAAGGATAGAGGAAGCCTGTGTATGATACTAGTGACTTTCCTAAATTGATGCATTAGTACTGAATTCTTGATATATGGGGGAAGAAAATAAGTTAGTTAAGCGAGTACAGTCAAGTGATCTATGATTTTCATTCTTAACTGATATATCTATGAAACCAGTAATTCTTTGACTCTGAATTGAACACTTGAATCAACAGATATTTGAGTGTTAGTAAAATTGTTTCGATGTTTGCCTGGATTATGATAAGTTTTTGATATGCAGTTTCAGAGCTTCCTTAATTTCAAGGTAATTTCTTTTATTATCTTCAAACACTGTCTCTGTTTGATTTGCTGGATATAATTTTTACATTTTCTACTTCTATCCCTTATGTCCAATCTCTTCTCTTTATTGCTTTAATTTATTTCCCTTTCCTTTTATGTTTACTGTACTTTTCTCAAGTTTTTTTCTATGTTTTTTCAGATGTCTCTTCTATTTGTTCCTATTTTTAATGCATTCGTAAATGCCTAAAAGCATTGTTTGAATACTCATTTCCCCTCCTTGGCTCACCAATATCTATTTTTGGCTAATTATATTATTATGACATTACATTATTGAGGTTTCTTTTTTTTAAATTGACTTCATATTCCACCTAAGCAGTTCTTACACCTGAAACATTTATACAATGTTTCAATCTGTCCCAAAATAGTTCCTTCGATAATCTTTTGCAGGCTGAGTTCATTTTTTAAATTTCAAATTGATTGTGAGTTAATTTCTTTTTATTTTAGTTGATGTTAAAATGAATCAGTTTCACCATATGACTATTTCATCTGACACAGCTTTAGTGACTTTTTCTTGACTCCCATCTCAGCTGAGTTGAGACTGTGTGGCTTTGTTCTCTAAGCTAGACTTTTATGAAGTTGGAAGTGATGTGGGAAGACTTAACTAAAACTTGGTTTAATCTATATCAGCATAACAATTATCTGCTTACCTCTCTGAAATTTTGTTATGCATCCTGTACATTTATTCTACATTGTTGTGACAGTTGCTACACATCCTCAAGTGGGAATGAAGTCAGACTTTCGTGAATTCCACCAAATTATTGTGGAGTCCTGAAACCTTGCCATCTGTGAGAGTCAGCAGTGATTGTTTTAATACCTTTTGCTCTACTTTCCATACAGCGGAGGGAAAATAAAGAATATCTACTCATTTAACTTTGATCTGGACTCACTATTATTATTAAAAATTCTCACTATTTTAACAAGTCAACTATGCGGCTTATAGAGAATGGGGTAAATTTAGCACCACGCTGCACTAAATGTGCATGTTTTCTTCCTTGGCTGACAATTTATGACAGGTATAGAATTATATTGTTCCTTCTTTTTTATTCTTTTATTTTTTTAGGAAAAAAAGTCCAGAAATAAAAAACTTTCTACATAGATTATGCATCTAAATTGTCTTTTTTATTCACTTTACTAGATATCATTATAGTAAAAATACCCAGTCTAATTTTCTCATCTATAATCTATGAATAGTTTTGTTTCGTAAATAACCAATTTTATTTACATTTTTGTTCAATGAAAGTTTTAATTCTTCCTGATGAGTTGTTTGAAAGTGCTACATAAATTCCATTATCGAACCATTTGATGTTATCGCTATAACTTCAAATTCTAGATGACATTACAAATTTT
Source organism: Homo sapiens (assembly GCF_000001405.40). Lineage (NCBI taxonomy): Eukaryota > Metazoa > Chordata > Mammalia > Primates > Hominidae > Homo > Homo sapiens. The sequence goes on from NC_000005.10 coordinate 25,391,052, forward strand.
TTCACAAAATTGTGATAAAATATTTTATTTAATTTTTAATTATTCAAAACATATGAAACCCAAAACTATTAATATTTTCATAAACTAAATAAGTATGTTACATATTCCTCTTGAAAGAAAACAAAGACCATTAGCTCTGTGTTTAGATCTTGAGATGTCAATAAAAGACCATATTGTTTGTGCTATTGGAGGAGGAAAGTAAAAACTGTTCAGATACCAACAGGTAAACTAAACTCTGGCTCTATTATTAATAATACAAAGAGGATTTTACTTAAAACAGACTTCGTAAGTTATAATAACATTCTATGCACATTCAGGAGACTGTATAAAAACGTGTTTTCCCAGATTGAAAATGACTAATAAATGGTAATTGAATTTAATACCACACTGACATTTGTTTAGTCATTAATTAGAAAGGATACAGTATATAATTCTTGGAGCTGTTTTTTTAAATATCACAACTAATAGGGCTTGCCAAATGTTTCCCATTACTACTATGCACCATACAATATTAAAATAGGTATTTCAGGATATCTGTATGTTGACTATAATGTATTTAAAGGGGATATCAACTTATAAGTGGAAATTTAATGATTTATTTAGTACAATCTGAAGATATCCGCAGGTACCTTTTTTCAGTAGACAGAGCCTTACTTCAACTTAATAGTCTGTGACCAATAACAAGTTGTTTTTATCACAGTTTGTTAAAATATTTTATTCAGCTTGACAAATTTACTTACATCTCATATCTGTCATATGAACAAGTTCACACAAAGGCTCAAATTATTTTAATTTGAAAGGAATGAACACATTTACTAAGAAATCAAGTGGGTGCATTTAGGCAGAAAAACTGAAAAGTGCAAAGTGAAATAAAGTGTCTGGTGTGTTTTTCTCCTAGAGGAGCAAAACAACACTGGTGAACTCACTTTGAAATTTTGCTTTGTGCTGACAGTTGAACTATAACTATATTTCATAAACCATAGCGCTCCCAAGTTACTGAAAATAAATTGATTTTCTGGAAATATGCGACACACAGGTTCTCAATATGGGTCTTGAACAGTCTGTCCCTAAAGTAGTTATTTCCATTTACAGCCCTGACCTGCCAGTATCGTCAGTGCTACTGTAGTTTTTCATGTACTTCAAAAACTACAGATCTGTTTCCATCCCTCTTAATCTAATATAAACTGCACATGCTTCTATCAGTAAAGACCTTCATTTTTATCCTTCTTCGATTTCATGACACCAATGGTTCTATATTTCACAGCAAAGGGAGCAGAATGAAATTACACATCTCTCAGATTTCAGCAATATCTTGTTTATGTGATTCAGGACCTCCATACAAAGAAGAGGTCATTCTCAATATTTCAGAAAATGTCTCATTTTGGGGATTCTAGAAGATAAACCTCACAATATGTTTGATTGGAAGTGTTAAAAAATATGCTTATTTGAACAAGAGTGGAAACACTTTAAATAATTAAGGCCTAAAGCAGCAACTCTCAGTATTTTAAAAAAGGCAGTTAATAGAAATGATGGCCAAAAATATGGAATATCTTGTAGTCTATATGGCAAAAAATGGAGCAACTGAGGAAGCAAAGTTATTGAGTTATTCCACAAGTAGTGTAGAGATCATCAGTAAAGTTACAAGTGAAAGTAAAATCCCAAAAGCAACAAAGCTAAAATAAAAATAAAAATAAAAATGATATATCCTGCCCCTCAGAAAAAAAATGGAATTTTTACAAAATGACATTTTACTTGAAATAGTGGTCTCTTTACTCTAAAAGATATTTTAAAACCCTGCAAAAACAAGTATATTTTGACTAAATGTTTTGGTTTTGGTGATACTGTTACTTAAATATTTACACCAGAGTTTAAAAACTGTAAGAAAACATAAAAAGTAGAAAGAAGGAAAAAGAGAGAGAGAAAAGAAAAAGCAAAGTGGAAGAATTGCTGAAGGAAAATGTTAATAGGGCTACCTGAAGCTTTAATAGAATGGAAGACTAATTAGTTGGGAAGTAAATTTAGACTAAAGGTCTTGATCTGACTGCATTCTTCATTTTAAGGTACGAGAATGAGAGGTAAAAGAGATAGCAGGGGGTCACGTTTTTATATTACAAGATTCTTTTGAGTTTCTGTTGATATCCAAATAATTTCAGTCCATGTCATTGGCTATGATAGAAATAGTTCAGATGTTCCAGTCTGTTGATTTGAGACATTGTAATATATTAACTGTCTTCTACAGAACTGCCAGGCACTAGTGAGAATGTTAAGGTTCCAGTCATACAGATTGTTGCTAGGGCAAAGATCCAGTTTTGGTGTGAAAACAGAACTGTGAATATAGATTTTGACTAGAAGAGGATTTGCATGTGCTGTAATCCATGGGGCCAACCAGGGGTACAGTCCATGGCTATAGCTGGGTAATTGACTGGAATGGCTTGTCTGAATAGATGTAAGCTGATTTGAAATGATGGAGAATAAAGCCCTGCTGGGAACCTATGGCAGAATATGAATGAATGCAGTGGCTGATGCCAGAAAGCAGGAATTAAGCCTCCTGAAAACCAAGGATGTGTGACCATGTACCGGGAGTGAATCCAGAAGCAGAAGCCAAAACAAGGAACAGCTGTCACTATAGTAAATGCAGGTAGGGAAAAAGGAGGCAGAAAATGTAATGAGGTTGTAAGTAAGGATCTGTGGGGGTAGCATTAGGAAGCACCCACATATGTTCCATAAAATACTCGAGAAGACATTATATACTGCTGTATTTATGTCTTTTCATTCAATATGGTTGTGTTAATTACTTCCTTAGAGTTATGGCCCAGGCCAATGTGTCACCACACCTATAGTAATTCCTGGTAGAAATGACCTGATTTACAGTTCACATTTGTCAGAATTTGTTCAGAATCTCAACAGAGTTGACCTTGTAGATTAATATCATCAGATTTCTCATAGGAAAGTAAATGAGAAATCCAGCAAATTATAGTATAAATACACAACAAGACTATTTTGAAATCTCTGTGTCTGGTTAGTACCTTCCTCCCTTGAAATAAGCTGGCAGTGGTCTTGATTGCAAAGTCCGCTTGATTCTAACAGAGGTGATATATATTTGCTTTTGTGAGTCAGAAATGTGCATAGGTCAACAAAAAATATGTGATCAAAAACTTTTTGAAAATAGGCTTTCTTCTCCTAATGGAAATGAGACAATACTCTCTTTGTGCTGTAAATCACCCCAGCTACTGAATCCTCTTTCCTTCCTCTATCAAACTGTCTTCTCCATACTGGCAGCCAGCTAAAATAGCCTGGCCCCCAGAGTCTAACTCATAATTCTAAATTTAAGCACAATTGATTGAAGCACCTTTTATACGATGGAATTTTCTACTATAATTTGAAGTGGAAAAAATTATTATAAGCAGTAAGCCTTAGATTGTAATAACGTGGGCTTGGAACTTAAAATAAGTAGTTCTGAAACTAGCCATACTACTTACTTGGTGTGTGGGCTTCTAGCAAGTTACTTGCCTTCTCTATGCTTTAGTTTTATCATTGGTAAAGACATAATAATAGTATTCACTCTATAGGATTTCAGTAAATATTGTGATAATCCACATAAAATACTTGAGAAGTACATGGCATATGTTAAGCAGCAATACAAGTTAGCCAGTAGGAGTACTAGATGTAGTAGCTACATTCGCATTAGAGCTGTCAGATTTAGCAAATAAAAAAGGACATCCAATTAAATATGTTTATTTTATTATTTTTTGTTGTGGTATGATTGACAAACCTTGTTTATAGTTAAAGAGTATAATGTGATATTTCTACATTTACTTTGCAAAATGGTTTCTTCAATTGAATTAAGTAACCTGTCACCTCACATACTTAATTTCAGATTAGCAAGGGGTATTTTTCTATTCTATCTCAAATATTGATGATTGGTTATAACAGCAGTGATACATACTTGTAATTATTATACTAATTATGCTAAGAAGTTATTTGTTGCTTATATAAAATTTGAAATTAATTAGGCATCTTCTATCTTTTTTTTTTTTTTTGAGACGGAGTCTTGCGCTGTCGCCCAGGCTGGAGTGCAGTGGCGTGATCTTGGCTCACTGCAAGCTCCGCCTCCCGAGTTCACACCATTCTCCTGCCTCAGCATCCCGAGTAGCTGGGACTACAGGTGCCCGCCGCCACACCTGGCTAATTTTTTGTATTTTTAGTAAAGACGGGGTTTCACCATGTTAGCTACGATGGTCTCGATCTCCTGACCTCGTGATCTACCCGCCTCGGCCTCCTAAAGTGCTGGGATTACAGGTGTGAACCACCACGCCCAGCCCTTCTATCATATCTTGCACCAAGGTAGCAGTAAAGCACATCCAGTTTAACAGCTTAACGTTGTTGATTCTAAAGGAGGCTCACTGAACAAATTATTGCTTTTTCATAATGTAAGACATTATGTAATTTCTAGGAAAGTGGCTAGTTTCATGACACTTAAAATGTTGAAAGTTTTAACAATTGATATGAAAATACATTATCATCTTGTTGACCTTTTCATGAAATCTGGTTTACTGTAAATGACACTATAAGGGGTCTTCAAAAGGCTCATGGAAACTGCATATTATGAAAAAAGCTCTGCATGAATTTAAAAATGGCACCAAAATAAACTATATTAACTTGTAATAACATGTCTGAATGTTATCTAGTTTTGAGTCACTAAGAAGGATAAGACATCAGTTTGAAAACAACCCCCATCAGAGCAACATGCATTCTGCTAAAATTGAACCAACAAGAATATTAAATTTATGATAAAGCTTGTGTGGAAGAATAGTGAAATTATCAATGTTTTACAAAAAGTTTATGGGGACAATGCCCTAAGGAAATCAGCAGTTTAAAATGAATAATTAGTTTTAAGAAAGGATGAGACCTTGAACATAATGTCCACAGTGGCAGACCATCCATATTGACGTGCAAGAAAAATGTCTTGTTCTTGCCCTAATTGAAGAAGATCACTGAATAACTGCAGCAATAACAGCCAACACTATAAACATCTCAATTTATTTAGTTCACATAAATTCTTACTGAAAAATTAAAGTTGAGCAAACTCCCCACTCAATGGATGCTAAAACTGTTATGCCCAGATCAGCTGCAGACAAGAATAGAGTTTTCAATGAAAATTTTAAACAAGTGGGTTCAAAATTGTGAAGCATTTCTTTGAATAATTTAACAGGAGATGTAACATAGCTTTACAAATACGATCTTGAAGGTGTAGTGGCGCAATCAAAACAATGGCTACCAAGACATGGAAATGGTCCAGTCAAGACAAAAACAGGCCAGTCAAGAGCAAAGGTCACATGACAACAGTGTTTTGGGATGGATACTCAAGGCATTTTGCTTGTTGACTTTCCAGAGGGCCAAATAATGATAACTTTGTTTATTATAAAAGAGTTTTGAGACAGCCAAAGCTTTCACAGAAAAATTCCTGTGAAACATTCACCAAAGAGTCCTTCTCTGCCATGATAATGGTCCTGCTCATTCCTCTCATCAAGCAAGGATAATTTTGTGAGAATTTCAATGGGAAATTGTTAAGCAGCCCCTATACAGTACTGACTTGTCTCTTTCTAACTCATTTATGTTTCCTAATCTTGAAACGTTTGTAAAACACACCCCTTTTACAGTTAATAATGAAAAAAATACTGCATTCACATGGTTAAATTCTTAGAACCCTCAGTTCTTTAGGCCTGGACTTAATGGCTGGTATCATCATATACAAAGGTGTGTTGAACTTTCTGGAACTTATGTTGAGAAGGAAAGTTTATATTGTTAATTTTTTTTTTATAATTCAGTTTTTTCACAAACATTTTTAAGTTCTCTCATATGTATTAGACAAAAGCAGTCTACACAGGGTGAGCTGTGCTGCACTCTGCCACTTCCTTTCCAGGCTTTCTTCACTGAAGGTTCAAGAGACTTTGAAGTCAAGTACCCCTCAGTGGCATTATTACATATGTTTGAACATAACTTTGTGCACCTCTCTTCAGCATAGAAGGGAAAGATTGTGTTTCATTATTAGAATGGATTATGTCTATGAAACAGCCTGATAATGGCAGTGGTAAATAGTGAGAAACCTCAAGTGAAAGAGGAATTCAGAGCCAGAGACAGGATCACATGGCGGGGTCACCATGGTGACTTTGTTCTAATCTTTTGGTGGAATTTGACCAACATGAGTTTCTACTTTATATTTTCAAAGAAGTTGAATATTATACATAGATGACTATTTTATAGAATAGGTGCAAATCTGTGTATATATTAAAAAGGAGAAATGCAACTATTTACTAATTTCAATAGGATATTTTAGATTGTTATTAGTTCATTCTCATGCTGCTAATACAGACATACCTGAGACTGGGTAATTTATAAGGTAAAAGAAGTTTAATGCACTCACAGTTCCACATGGCTGGGGAGGCCTCACAATCATGGCAGAAGGCAAAGGAAAAGCAAAGTCACATCTTACATGGCAGCAGGCAAAAAAAGCTTGTGCAGGGGAACTCCTATTTATGAAACCAATGAGACCACCTGAGACTTACTCACTACCATGAGAACATTATGGGAGAAACCATCACCATGATTCTTTTATCTCCACCTGGCTCCACCCTTGACACATAGGAATTATTACAATTCAAGGTGAGATTTTGGTAGGGACACAGCCAAGCCATATGAGAGATACAGAAGCACTTCAAGATAATTGACTTTATGTCAATATGATCATTTAAATTAGTAGAAATACGGACTGAGTAAAACCATGGTAGACAGAAAAGCAAGTCATTTGTTCAATTAAAATCTGTCCATAATGTATACTGAAACAAGATATGGAGTCTATTAGTTTTGAATTGTTAAAGGGATCTAGGTAATCACTGTCTATAAAATGAAAACATAAAAGCTATAGTTATAAGTAAAATAGTAGATTAAATTTTATAAAATAGTATCTACAAAATATTGACATATTTGTGAAATTCAAAATAAAGCTTTGTGAAGTCAATTTCAAGCAACTAAAATTAGACTATAATTCAACACTTCTTAAAATATAAAGGCTGATGTAAAAAAATTAATCATTTATATATAGCAGCTCATTTTAATTTGACTTAGGTACAAACATATGCATACACTTAATTTCTATGGTAATATTTTATTTTAATGACTATGTCCAAACTGTAATTATATATGTGTGTGTGCTCTCCATGTGTAATATATATTTTATATGCATAATTTGTCTTATATGACCAGTTAATATAAATTATAACAAATTATATATGTATAATTTATTACCTCTAATGTCAATATCATTTACATATGATGCATAGTTACTGAGAATATAAAATAGTGTAAAAGATGTGAGAAAAAAATAAATATTTCTCCCAACATTACTTTTTCCAAGTAAATCTTTTTCCAAGTAAATAATTCATGTGTTGGATGATGTACCAAAAATTAAAATATCCATTTTTCTCTACTTACAGAAGAAGAGTAAAATTTATTAAAATTTTTTTCTGAGATATTATTTTGAACATTTACTTTTCCATGTTAACTTTTGAATTGGCTTGCCAAGGTCTTTAAATTATCTTGTTGCTATTTTGATTAGGCTAGGTTGAATTTACAGATAAATATTGAGTATTGACATTATACAATATTGTCTTCTGAACCACGAAATACAAATTCTCTCTCATTTACTCAGATTTTCTTAAGCGTTCTTTTACATTTTGATGTATGCAGCTAAATATCTTGAACATTTTGTTACATTCATTTAGTCACTTGGTAGTATTGCTATAGTCATTTTTACTAATGTGAATTAATTTTCTTTTTTAACTGGTAGTTTCTAGTATATATATAAGGAAGGCATTATTTTTAATTAAGCTTTGTCTTTCCATCTAATTGAACTCTCTTGCCTCAAATGCTATATATTTTTTATTTCATTCTTCAGAAATATTTCTAAAAAGGGATTTTATTATCTATTAAATATTGTTTTTTTCACATCACAGGGCAAATGGGTATTTTATAAAATACATAATGGAATAAACATAAATCTATTCCATAAGATAATTAAATGGAGAACACGCTCTTTAGTTTTATTTTTTAAATACAATTCAACATTTATGTGAATTGTATTTAAAATACAATTCTCACCTCTATGACTTCATCTAAACCTAATTACTTACCAAAGGCCCTACCTCTTAATTCCACCACATTGGTGGTTAAGGCTTCAATGTATGAATCTGGGGGAGATACATTTCAGTCCACTACAAATGCTAAATGGAAAAGAATTCTCTTATGACACATTTCAAATCCAAAAATGTCCAACTTGATTTTCTAATGTAATTATAATATTCCTTGAGCAGGTATCAGAAGGGAGTGTAAAAAAATTTATAATTTTTAAAAGACAATATAAGTTATTATGTATTAAATTAGTTGAATATCATATAAAGTAATAGCAGATGATACAATGTACCGTTAGTCTTCTCAAGGGCCATTTATATAAAGCATTTATCTTTATAAATCCACTATGCTCTCATAGACAAATAATTGCCTTAAAATCATAGCCTTCAAATGACCTTCTCTTGCTTAAGCATCACAAAAAATATTACTACCTACTTATGAAAAGTGAAACAGAATTTTTACATTTCTTATTCACATTTTCTTTTTACTTATGTTTTCACTCAAAAAATAATAATATGGTTTCTTTTTCCATATAAAAAGAAAGTTGTACCCTAGAACAATTTTGCAAAATATCTGCTCTAGGGGTCAAAACAGGTGAAGCTTTGTGAATGATTTTACACTCTCCTGAATGTCATTTTATATAATTTCTTTTCAAAATCAAAAGTCAAACAGGAAAATTACTCCTATCCACTGGCCTATGCACTCCACCAGCATTGATTTCTTTTTGCAAAGGAAAGCAAGTGTGCCTTATAACTTGCATGCTCTGAAAATCATTTATATAGAAGCAAAAAAAAAAAAAAAACTTGCAAAAGCTTTGAAAGGACATTATTGCGTAAGGGCTCCTTTAAGCACATTTTCACATTCAAAGAAATAACATGGATTTTCAATGAATGCTCTTAATCAGCTAAGGTTACTATAACAAAATACCATACAGTGGGTGGCTTAAACAACAGACATTTATTTCTCACAGTTTTGGATGTTGGTAAGTCCAAAATCAAAGTGTCAACAGGTTTGGTTCCTGGTGAAGTCTCACTTCCTGCCTTGCTGATGGCTGCCTTCTTGCTTTATCCTCACATGGTAGAAAGACAGAGAGAACTCTGGTGTCTTCCTTTGATTATAAGAACACTAATCTCACCATGCAAGCCTCACCTCTATGACCTCATCTAAACCTAATTACTTACCAAAGACCCCACTTCTAAATTCCATCACATTGAGGGTTAAGGCTTCAACATATGAATTTGGAGGAGATACATTTCAGTCCGCTACAAATGCTAAATGGATGTTTGTTTTAATTTTCAGGATGTTGACAATCATACAAATTATTGACATTAAATATTTGTTATTTTTATGTTGATAATTTGGATATCAAAAATTATTTCATGAAATAATGTCTTTTTATAATAAATCATTTCATTTGCTTATTAAAAATGAATAGTTTAACACATGGATAAGCAAAGAGAGTAAGTTAAAGTCACATAAAATAAATACTGCAGTATCTCACAGCATATATTTTATTTTATATATTTATTTTTAATTTTGGTGGGTATAGTAGGTATACATATTTATGGGGTACATGAGATATTTTTATACAGGTGTACAATGCACAATAATCACATCTGGGTAAATAGAGTATCCATTACCTCAAGAATTTGTCCATTCTTTGTGTTACATGCAATCCTATTATACTCTTTTAGTTATTTTTAAATGTACAGTAAGTTATTGTTGACTGCAGTCACTCTGTTGTGTTATCAAATATTAGATCTTATTCATTCTTCCTAATTATATTGTGTACCCATTGACCATCCCTAACCATCATTCCACTCTCTATCACCAGGGGTTCAATTGTTTTAATTTTTAGCTCCAACAAATAAGTGATTGTGGGGGTTCAGTCATGATGGTGGGAAAAATTTTAGCTACAGAGAATATACACAAACCCTTTAGGAAGGCCTGGGAGTTTTTACATATAGTACTTGGCTGAAGGCAGCCTTGTCCCTTTAATTAAATAAATTAGAGTAGAAACAAAGGAATGTGGGGAGTTTGTCTAACTAGCTTGTTTACTCATGTGGTCCTAAGACTAACCTTTGATCTACCACGGGTGCTTAATTGCTTTCTACTCCGGAAGTCTGCAATATCAATTACCCTCTAGTGGGGTTGTCTCAAGCCTTTGTCAATTAATCCTTACTAAATAAATGTGAGTCTCACTGGCTGGTCAGGGCTGTGGTTGCAACTGTTTACAGCACTCTGCTTGGAATCTGTTAAGGGGCCCGGACGCTCAGTTGGACTGACAAAGCAGAATATCTGTGTGTCAGTGTACTTTATTCATCTGTTGTTGGGTCAGGGTCTGTGAGTCAGACCCCCATAAGTAAGAAGATGTGAAATTTCTATTACTGTGCCTGGCTCTGTATACATTTAAAACCTTTTCAGATGACATATTTCTTGCTTTTTCATAAGTTATCATCTTCATGTAATTTATGGCATTATGTACTTTATAAAACATTGCTTTTGATGGGTTTATGAAAGACAATTGCTCAGAGGAGCAATTATTTATCTAAGCATTGCCTAATTATTTACATTTCCACTGTTTCTGTAGATGATTTAGTGAATAGAACTCAATTACAAAATCCTGTTGAAAGTTGACTCAATTTTTATTATAAAGCAATTGTGAGCAATTTTGGACAAAGAAGACTGTAGTTGTTAATAACAGGCATCAACTTGACTGAACTGAGGGAGCCTAGATGGCTGATGAAGCACTGTTCCTGGGTGTGTATGTGAGGGTATTTGCTGGAGGAGATTGATATTTGAGTTAGTGGACTGGGAAAGGAAGACCAGCCCTCAGTGTGGGTGGGCACCATTGAATTGGCTCCCAGTGCATGTAGAATAAAGCAGGTAGAAGAAGGTGATAAGTAGCTTGCTTGCTGGGTCTGCTTGCTATCTCTCTTTCCCCACTGTGCCAGATGGTTTGCTTCCTCTCCTCCTGCCCTTGGGCATCAGACTCCAGGTTGTTTGACCTTCAGATGCTGAGAAGTGCACCCATCTCGGGTGCATGACTCTTGGGCATTCTACCTCAGACTGATGGCTGCACAGTCAATTTCCCTGGTTTTAAGGCTTTCAGACTTGGGACTTGGACTGAGCCAGGCTACTGGCTTCTCTCTTTCCCCAGCTTACAGATTACCTATTTTGGAACATTATCTTGTAATTCTGTGAGCCAATTCTCCCTAATAAACTTTTATATATATATATAAATGTTTGCCTGAGAAAATAGCAATAGCCTCTCCTGAGGCAGTTGCCAGGCAAGATAATGCTGCTTCTCCTCAGGATTCAACCTCACCACACCTCTTTGCCTGTAGACCTTTAACTTATATAATAAATCTATTACCTAATAAACATATATATATATGTGTGTGTGTGTGTGTGTGTGTGTACATCCTATTGTGTCTGCCTCTCTGGAGAACTGTGACTAATACAGATTTTGATATGAGGAACTGGCTTATACAGGTTCTAGGGAAATAGAAGTTTAAGGATGAATTTCCTTAGTTGGTTTTGGGTTTTAGAAGTTGGCTCTCTAATTTGACTAAACCTAAAAACTCTAAGGACTCTGCTTCTAATAGTACAGAGAACATTGACAGTCCCTAGCTTGAGCTGTTTTTAGAGTTATGCAAAATAAATGCATGTGATACTTTTGGTTCACTACTACTGAGAAGAAAGGAATTTAGTGACTGTATACGTGATACTTTCGAACATTTGTGGAAAACCAAGAAATAATGAAGTTGGTTGGTCCTAAGTTCACTGGACAAAGTGAAGAAAGATAAAGATGAGCTAAGGGATTCTAACTCCTTGCTGCAGAGGCACATACCTAGCCTAAAAGTTTCTAAGGGTGCCCAGTGAGAATCTTCTCTTCTGTAGACAAAGGGTTTAAATTTCTGAAAAATCAAACACAAGCTCTTATCTGTGAGTGGCTGGCTAACAACAAATGGTGAACTCTCAGCCTTGCTGAGTGTTTACTGTTAAAGTGAGAGCATTGGCTGGGAAAAAAATGGACCCTGTAATTTGGAATGGAGATATATGGGAGGACCCTGATGAAGCTGGGGACACAGAGCTCCTAAATTCTGATGAGCTAATTTTGCCAGAGGAAGAGACCTCTCTACATTCCATGATGGCAACATCCCCTCCCTGACCCAGAATGGTATCAGCTTTTCCACCTTTTTCTGAGGATATTAACCCTGCATTGCCTGAGGAAATAGTAATAGCTTCCCCTGAGACAGTTGCCAGACAAGTCAATGCTGATTCTCCTCAGGGACCACCCCCATCACCCTTCTTTGCTTCTAGACCTGTAACTAGACTCAAGTCCCAGCAGGCCCCTGGAAGTGTGGAAGTGTGGCTAAGAGCGCTACCCACGAGCAGGTCTATGCTCCAAAAGAACTGCTTGAATTTTCTAATTTATATCAGCAGATGTCTGAAGAACAGAATGGGTATGGATATTAATGAGATGGGTTTGGATGTTTTGTCCCCTTCAAATTTTACATTGAAATGTGACCTCCAATTTGGCAGTGGGCTTAGTGGGAGGTGTTTGGGTCATGACAACTGGTCCCTCATGAATGCCTTAGTCCTATCCCGAAGATAAGGAGTGAGTCCTTGCTCAGTTAGCTCATGTGAGATCTGGTGGTTTAAGGAGTCTGGACCTTCCCCTTCTCTGTCTTGCTTTAGCTCTTGCCCTGTGGCATGACTTCCCCTGCTTTGCCTTTGAAAGCACAGCAACATGAAATAATCGAAGATTAGATTTAACTTTAGCTTTGCTTTGTCCATTGTCAGAACCAAGCATCAACAATATCTTCACATCTGTTGTCAATTTATGTCAGACTATATGATCCTGTGTCTATATGAATTATTTTTCATTTGTAATAATTTTGAATGAACTACATATTCTTGTAAACTGTGAAATAATTAATAAATAAATCCTGCATTCATAGGTGCATTATTTAGTGTGACTGATTATAAACATACATGTACATACACAGAGTTGTATGTGTTAACAGTTTTGCTGATGAAGAAACTGAGGCACAAAATTTTTAAATAAATTTTCCAATTTTATAAAGGGAGTGAGAGAGCAGGATTAAAAATCTAATTGCTTTCCTCTCAATCCTGCTGTAAACAATACCTTTCCCACAAAGTTTAAAACATCATATTTTCACATGTTTTGAGAAAAGTAAATATTTTCATAATAACCCTCTGTGGTATTTTCAATTTAATGCCTTGGTTAAAAAAATTAGTTTGAGACAGTAGCATAAAATATGTTGGACTTTGAAAGGTTAAGAAGGTATCTCAGAAATCATTTCCTCTGACCTCTCATTAGATGTCAAGAAACAAACAACATGACACTCTGGTTCAAGGAGACTTTTAGTAAAATAGGAGTTAGCAAAACCACAATGGAATTAATTCACACAGCAAACATTAATTGAATGAATATAACCCCTGGCAGGTTAAGACATCTTGGAAGAAGAAATCTTAAGATCTGCTATGATTGCAAATTAGTTGATACAGCATGAAAATAGACCTACTACTTACTATATTGTGCTATTGGGAATGAAGAAACATTTTACAATGGAATCATCTCCACTGCAAGTGAGTTTTCAAAAGATTAATACCCTAGGGATATTGAAAAGTAAACCCAGTGAAATGATTATGAAGCATACAAACCATGACTGCTGATTGTAGTCCTAATACAGAATGCTTCTAGAGAGTTTTAACGAAGGCTGAAAGAACTTCATGTAACAATACATCCCTTTATGTAACAATGAGAAAATCTGAGAGAAGTCAATAAGAGTGTTCACAGTGGCATTCAGGATGTTTTCTCTAACCTATAAAATAAATTTATTAAGTCAAAAAGTAACAGATAAAACATTTTAAATAATTTGGAATTGCATGCTGATCTGTATATTTTATTTAAAATAAAATTAAAGCTGAGTTTAATATTAAAATAACCAACATACTTTGGGGTCCTCCATTCATTGGGGTCCTCCCACACATCTCCATTCCAAATTACAGGGTCCATTTTTTTCCCAGCCATTTTTTAATACTAAAATAACCAACATACTTTAAACTGTAAAAATTTCTGTGTTTTACATTAAAAACTTTGAAGGCAAACCCTAAAAATATGAACATAGCGTGATGTGAACCCACAAATGTTTGATTACTTTTAGGAATATATTAAAGCATCATATTAAAATTGTGCTTTAGAGTATGCCCTTAGTTTTTGAGGATATATGTGTATTGAGCATGAAAGCTAATTATACTGCTTATATCCAAGATGTCAATCCAGCAGCTTTTATTACTTAACCATATAGAGAGAGAAAAGGAAGGCAAAAAACATAAGTGTTTTTGAAAATTGGCACGTTTTTGTAAAATATTTAATTATTTCCAATTAAGCTACCCAAAATCTATACAAAGTTCAGAGAATTCATATAAAAAGTAAAATTAAATTATAAGTAAATGAATATCTAATACTAAAGATTGCTTTTTATTTTAAACAATTGTAGACCATTAAATTTTTTCATATATAGCTTAAAACTATCACATACTAATTCTTTATAATGACAGCTGTAACATGAAATAAGGATTGCAATGATACATCTTTTAAACATAGATGTACCTTTCTCTCTTTATACATTGCTTTGTAGCAGGTATTTCTTTAATGTAGTACTTCAGTGCATACTGTAACTTATGGCAGCAAACATGTGGTCTCTTTGACTTAAGATTTATCTGGTTTCAGTATCACGCTTGGTCATTCAAATTAGACTGGAAGTAGCAGGGCAATGCTTCTTAGCAGGGCAATACTCCCTGGTTTACAGGGAAACCAGGAAGCAACTTTCAACCAATGACTGATGATAATAGTTGTATACATACCCCAGTAGCTCTCCCCTGTGGCAGGGAGTAATTCTGAGATGTATATTCTAAACTGACTTAAAGAATTTTCTCAACAAAGTTAAGCTTCAGTCACCCACAGTGGTAGCTGTTTTCACAAATTCACTTACATTAGCCATTATTTTTCTGTCTCTTCTCATATCACCTTCGCTCCCAAAGCATTATATATCCCACCTTTGTAACAGACGCATTTCACACAGATCTTTGCTTCTGGGAAATTCAATCATAGACACACCCTCCACCAATATTCTGACTTGCAATATTACTGTTATCTAAGACAAAGTCTAGACCTTTCAGGGCAATTCCAATGGTGAGGATATAATTACTTCCTGAGCCTGAATCTCAAAATGCAAAGAGTATGGCATTAGTAAGACAGGTAAATATCTTGACTGTTTGAATCCAAACAAACATTAACTATAGACTTGAGTTCCATTTTATCATTACATTGTCAGTAAGAAAAATCTATTTTGCTTTCCTCAAAGTAATTTATTTTTAGATCTATATTTATCAAGCAAGTTATTTCAAATAACTGTGAATTGCCATGAACTTTCATGTGAGGGTATTTTCACAGTGATGGTATTTATTACTTGTGGTGGATTAAAGATAGGCACTTATCTTTTTGGCACTGTTAACCTATTGAGGTGAGGTCTACTTACCTCCTCTTGAATCTGATCAGAGTTTTGGACTGCTGTGAGAATTTTATGGCAGAAGTGACTCTGTGCTAGTTTCCAGGCCCAGTTCTGTCTCCTGGAGTCCAGCCATCATGCCGTGAGAAAGCACAAGCAGCCTATAGAGAAATCCCTATGGAGAGGAACCTCCCCGCTGCCTACTGGAAGAGTCAATCCAGCAAACAGCTGCCAGCCATAGTCAACTTGAATGTAGATCCTCAGGGACCAGTAGAGCTTCCCTGTTGATAATCCACGGAACAGTATTAAGCTGCCCAGCAGATCTTAATCAATGGCCCACAAAAGAAAGAGTACAGAGGGTGTGTCTATGATTGAATTTCCCAGAAGCAAAGATCTGTGTGAAATGCGTCTGTTACAAAGGTGGGATATATAATGCTTTGGGAGCGAAGGTGATATGAGAAGAGACAGAAAAATAATGGCTAATGTAAGTGAATTTGTGAAAACAGCTACCACTGTGGGTGATTGAAGCTTAACTTTGAGGCTTAACTTTAGTTCTGTTCCTCTCCCTCTTGTCACCCTCCACCCTCCAGTAGGCGCCAGTGTCTGTCATTCCCTTCTTTGTGTCCATGTGTTCTTATCATTTAGCTCCCACTTCTAAGTGAAGATATGCGGTATTTGTTTTTCTGTTCCTGTGTTAGCTTGCTAAGGATAATAGCCTCCAGTTCCATCCATGTTTCAATAAAAGACATACTCTTGTTCTTCTTCCTTTATTTATTTATTTATTTATTTATTTATTTATTTATTTATTTATTTTTGGAGATGGAGTCTTGCTCTATGGCCCAGGCTGGAGTGCAATGGCATGATCTTGGCTCACTGCAACCTCCGCCTCCTGGGTTCAAGGGATTCTCCTGTCTCAGCCTCCTGAATAGCTGGGATTACAGGCACCCGCCAATACGCCCGGCTAATTTTTGTATTTTTAGTAGAGATGGGGTTTCACCGTGTTGGTCAGGCTGGTCTCAAACTCCTGACCTCGTGATCCACCCGCCTCAGCCTCCCAAAGTGCTGGGATTACAGGCGTGAGCCATGGCGCCTGGCCTCTTATTTTTATGGCTACATAGTGTACATTATTCCATGGTGTATATGTACACATTTTCTTTATCCAGTCTGTCATTGATGAGCATTTGGGTTGATTCCTTGTCATTGCTATTGTAAAGAGTGCTGCAATGAATATTCATGTGTATGTCTTTATAGTAGAATGATTTATATTGTTTTGAGTATAGACCCAATAATAGGATTGTTGGGTCAAATTTCTGTTTTTAGCTCTTTGAAGAAGCGCCACATTTCTTCCCACAATGGTTGAACTTATTTACACACCTGCCAAGACTGTGTAAGTGTTCTCTTTTCTCCACAACCTCTCCAGCATCTTTTATTTTTTGACTTTTTTTGTGTGTTCTACTTTGTTATGGGTTACATGTGCAGAACGTGCAGGTTTGTTACAGAGGTATATATGTGCCATGGTGGTTTGCTGCCACCATCAACCCGCCACCTACATGAGGTATTTTTCCTAATGTTATCCCTCCCTTAACCCCCTACCCCCCACAGGCCCTGGAGTGTGATGATCCTCTCCCTGTGTCCATGTGTTCTCATTGTTCAGCTCCCACCAAAGAGTGAGAACATGGGGTGTTTGGTTTTCTATTCTTGTGTTAGTTTGCTGGGAATGATGGTTTCCAGCTTCATCCATGTCCCTGCAAAGGACATGAACTCATCCTTTTTTATGCCTGCATAGTATTCCATGGTGTATATGTGCCACATTTTCTTAATCCAGTCTATCAGTGATGGACATTTGGGTTGGTTCCAAGTCTTTGCTATTGTGAACAGTGCTGCAATAAACATATGTGTGCATGTGTCCTTATAGTAGAATGATTTATAATCCTTTGGGTATATACCCATTAATGGGATTGCTAGGTCAAATGGTATTTCTGGTTCTAGATCCTTGAGGAATCACCACACTGTCTTCCACAATGGTTGAACTAATTTACGCTCCCACCAACAGGGTAAAAGCCTTCCTATTTCTCCACATCTTCTCCAGCATCTGTTGTTTCCTGACTTTTTAAGATCGTCATTCCAACTGGCATGAGATGGTATCTCATTATTGTTTTGATTTGCATTTCTCTAATGACCAGCCACATCATGAGTGAACTCCCATTCAAAATTTCTACAAAGAGAATAAAATAGCTAGAAATACAACTTACAAGGGATCTGAAGGACCTCTTCAAGGAGAATTACAAACCACTGCTCAAAGAAATAAGAGAGGACACAAACAAATGAAAAAAACATTCCATGCTCATGGTTAGGAAGAATAAATATTGTGAAAATTCATTGCTATCCCCATCAAACTACCATTAACGTTCTTCACAGAATCGGAAAAAAACTACTTTACATTTCATATGGAACTAGAAAAGAGCCCACACAGCCAAGACAATCCTAAGCAAAAAGAACAAAGCTGGAGGCATTACACTACCTGACTTCAAACTATATTACAGGGCTACAGTAATCAAAACAGCATAGTACTAGTAACAAAACAGATATACAGACCAATGGAACAGAACAGAGACCTCAGAAATAACACCACACATCTACAACCATCTAATCTTTGACAAAACTGACAAAAACAAGCAATGGGGAAAGGATTCCCTATTTAATAAATGGTGTTGAGAACTGGCTAGTCATATGCAGAAAGCTTAAACTTGATCCCTTCCTTACACCTTATACAAAAATTAACTCAAGATGGATTCAAGACTTAAACCTAAGACCTAAAACCATAAAAACCCTAGAAGAAAACCTAGGCAATACCATTCAGGACATAGGCATGGGCAAAGACTTCATGACTAAAACACCAAAAGCAATGGCAACAAAAGCAAAATGGACAAATGGGGTCTAATTAAACTAAAGAGCTTCTGCACAGCCAAAAAAAACAAAAACAAACAAAAAACAACAACAAAAAAAAAACAACTATCATCAAAGTGAACAGGTAATCTACAGAATGGGAGAAAATTTTTGCAATCTATCCATCTGACAAAGGGCTAATATCCAGAATCTATAAAGAACTTAAACAAATTTACAAGAAAAAAACAACCCTATCAAAAAGTGGGCAAAAGATATGAACAGACACTTCTCAAAAGAAGACATTTATGCAGACAACAAATATATGAATAAAGTAGTTTCTTATACAGCAAGTGATAATCATAAAAGTAAAATTCATGCCTTCATGAAAATTCCCTCCTTACAAACATATGTAGACTTTTGAGAGAAAATGGCACTTTTGATCTTTGTTGGTAGTTAGAGATTCTGATTATGTTTCCACATGCAAAAGCAAAATCACTATGATTTAACATTTTTATACTATGAGAAAACTTCTAATTCCAAACAATAAATAGGAAAAATAAATGTTATGATACATGAATGCTAGTTACTTGGTTAATTTAAGCAGTTTTCCCTATTTGGATATTGTGTTCTATATAAAGCAAGAATACAATTTAAGTGCATTTTGCATGGCATACCTTTACATTATTTTGTTAATGTTCAATGACATGTAATTAAATATTCCTAATTTCACCTGAGATGCTAGAAAAGCCTTATGCATTTTTTTGGCAACTTCTTAAGACACATGTGCCCTGAAGACCAAAATGATTTACAAGTTGTTACAGTGTTTAGTTTAAATGCATATTCATAATTCACATAGATAAGATGTATTTAAACAGTAGAGTGATAAAATAAATATTTTATACAGTTTTATAAAACATGTAAGGAAAAGTAGTGGGATAAAATGATAACATCTCTGCAAAATTTTCATTCTCTATGTTTATGCATAAGAAGTAATTATACCACTCAGATCAAGACAGTACTAGGAAAAATATTTTTTTAATTAATAAAGCAATAGTACACCTGACATACACCAAGTGCCTCCTACGTAATGTGCATTTTTCTTAAAATATGTCTAATCATTAAATCAAATTTATTAAATAGATACTATTAATATGAATGAAAAAATCAATTTGCTCTAAGCAAATGTGATAATTTGCTCTAAGCCTCACAAGCAGTAAAGTGGAATGCATAACATTGGCAACTTCTTAAGACACATGCACCCTCAAGACCAAAATAACTCGCAAGTTGTTACACTGTAGTTTAAATGCTTATTTCTAAATCACATAGATAAGATGTATTTAAACAATAGAACTATGAAATACATATTTCATGCAGTTTTCTCTCTGACAGCAATACTAGATACTTTCCTGTATTTCGCATAATCTCTTTATCTTTACTTATGTTGGTCATTAAAAGAATCATCATTCTTGTATCGCTTACCCTGTGTATGGTGTTTGTGTGGTTTTTAAATTCTTTTTCCTCACACAGAAACTTTTTTTTCTCTCTCTTGGGACAAACTTTTATACGTATTTCCCCAGCAGCTCAAAGAGATGCTTGGGAAAATTAGTCGAGAACCTATAATACACTATGTATTATATTTCAATTTCTCTGTCTCTGTCTCTCTCTCTCTATGTCACACACACGCTACGCTCTCTTTCTCTCTCTCTGTCACACACACACACACACACACACACACACACACAGAGTTTCTCTCTCTCTCTCCCTCTCTTCAGGGTCTGTATTTTGCTTTTATGAAGGAGAACAGTGACTTCAGTATGGCCTCCATGACCCAAGGTTCTTCTTCCTTGTTCCTTGTTTTTATCCTTGCCCCTCCCTGTGCCTCACACATTTTTTATTCCTTTGTGTTTCTCAAATGATAGTTCATTTACCTGGAGCACTCTTCCTCCACAATTGCCCATCACTCATGCCTCATCTCAAAGGCCATTCCTGAAAGTAGTCTTTCCTGACCTCACACACTTTGCTGGGATCTCCCCGTGAATGCTGATGGTGCTGTTTTCCAGTTTGTATAACAGCCTACCCTGTCTGGTGCATTCTACTGGATAATGAGCTCCCAACTCAGTGCAAAGCAAATAGTAGAAACTCAAATAGAAATTAAATAAGGTTGATTCTAATGAAAATTTCTATCAGCTCTGGGCTTTTCCATTGATGAATTTCCTATATTTCAAAGTTGAAGAATTTCTAAAATCTACACAATTGTATAATAATATTTAAATCAATATAGTAATAACTTAGAGATTAAGGAATTAAGTGCCAGGTAAATAGTAATAACTAAAATTTTTCAATGTGTAAAGGAATTCACTTCCTTTCTCTTTTCTATTGAACAGAATCATTTTATAATAAAAGCAACATTTCTTTTTCAAGTAAAAATTCAATCAAATCAATTTTACATTTGTGAACAATGTTTCCTAGGCCTACCCACTGAGAGTTCGAAATTGGTTTGTGTTGATTAACTTCATAGTTCTTAATTTCACTGACACTTGTCCTCACATAGTATTGTGAAATTTTCATTTCCACTAAAACACACTGATGCACACACCAACAGGCACACAGCAATACACAAACACACACATCTAATTATTTTGCAGTACCTCTTGAAGATCCCTCGTGTTCACACAAAAGTCTTGTTAGCT
Source organism: Homo sapiens (assembly GCF_000001405.40). Taxonomy (NCBI): domain Eukaryota; kingdom Metazoa; phylum Chordata; class Mammalia; order Primates; family Hominidae; genus Homo; species Homo sapiens. The sequence continues at coordinate 25,412,359 of NC_000005.10, forward strand.
ATTACATATATCCACTATGTTTTTTATCTGCTGCTCTCAAAACCACTTGAGTTACTGGCACAAATACTCACCTTGATAATGCTGAGGTCAGCCTAGGGTGCCAAGTACCAAAATCCCAGACCTCTTGTTATTAATATTTGCTAAAATCTCAAGGCATTGGTGCAATTCTCATATTCTACACCCTACTAATATGGGAAGAAAGATTTTGTATTCAAATATGGATCATGATATATTATCTGGACCAGAACTGTTGTGATTAATTCCTAATGTGTTATGTGTGCTAGGTGAGGTAGGTCCAAAGATTTACTCCACGGGTGCACATCCCATTCCATTGTGTTAGACCAAGAGATCAGCAGAGAGCTCAGACTGCTCTCAAAATTCCTTTCCCTTCCAACACATACACTCATTTATTAACTTACTTTCTTATTTTTCTTTTTACTGGAAGTTTACATTTAAATGTCAATGTAACACATGCAATTACAGTAAGTGAAATATTAAAAAGTGTATGAACTTAATTTTAAATCTCAAGTAAAAATTTGGTACAGTCTCTCACAAATATCTACAAATTATGCATACAGGTGATACTTTTTTCCCCAATGAGTCCCTACTGGTTTTTTGATAAATTATTTTTATGTAACATAAATCTTTTAATAGGTAATGAAAATGCATCCCGTGACTAGTGACTTAGTCAATCATCTCTCTTCATGGACATTCAAATCATTTATTTTGATTATATCTTAATGCCATAGTAAACAACACAGGAACAAAAACTAGAACTGTGTATATAAGTGCATGTGTGTATATTATTGTGTGTGTAAGAAGGCCTGATTACAAAAATGATTTGGCACACATAAATTCCATTTTTTACTATCTTTTTAAAAATATTAATACTCTCAAAATCAATTGTTTAAAATATCAAACAATCAGGCATCAAAATGTTTATTTTTCTATTCCTCATTTTCCTAGCCACAAGTTACCAGACCTATGTCTTCAAGAGTAAAATGGAGGTCTGCACTGGGAAAATCTAGGTTTTACTTATGAAACATCACAGTGAGAAGGGGAGAAAAATAGAGTTTACAATGGTTTTGTTATCTGCAGTGCATATGAGAAGAAATGGAGACTTACGGGGAAATGAGATGTTGGTTGTAAATAAACTTTCAAACAATTTTTTTTGATTTATGATTTGGGAACTTTTCATGTACTCTTTTTTTTGAGATGGAGCCTCACTCTGTCACCCAAGTTGGAGGGCAGTGGCGCGATCTCCCCTCCCAGGTTCAAGAGATTTTCATGCCTCAGCCTCCCAGGTAGCTGGGATTACAGGCTCGTGCCATCACACCCAGCTAATTTTTGTATTTTTAGTAGAGACGGGGTTTCTCCATGTTGCCCAGGCTGGTCTTGAACTCCTGACCTCAGGTGATCTGCCCGCCTCGGCCTTCCAAAGTGCTGGGATTACAGGTGTGAGCCACTGTGCCCGGCTTCATGTATTCTTGAAGAATAAAATAGTAATTATTATAAGTTTGTAAACTTTAAAAAATAAATTTAAATTTATTTTTATGTGATAACTACCCCCAAGTATGGATTTTTGTTGATGCTAAGATATATGAATAACATATCCTTATATGATAATGTTTTTTGTCTTTCTACATAACTGAGTAGCTGAAGTTCACTTTGATTTCATGCTTTATAGTCTCTCTCTCTCTCTCTCTCTCTATATATATATATATAATTTACTAATACAATTCACTTCAGAAACCCGTGTTAAGTTGTAAGATCAGCCCTCACAAAAGAGATATATACATAATAATATGATATACATACATACAAAATAATACTATATAAATTATAGTGCAATATGCAGTGAAGATAATAATTCAAAGATTAGAAAAAACAGTTACTTTTGTTGGATTATAATTTTAATAGGCTTTTTCTAATAGAGCATATTTTACAACTAAAAAGCAATCAAATACAGTTTATTAACATTGTTATAATTTTTTATACTTTCAAGGATTGAAAATCAAGTTTATATCTGTTGAAAATATGTTGTTTTTCTTTAGTCTAATTTTTAAAGCACATTTTACTATGCCAGACTCTTTCTCTCAATATCAACAGATACCCAATACTTTAGTTTTTAATTACAATTGATATATCTAATACATTTGAAATCAATATTGTTTATTCAAATTATTGTCCAAATAATAAATTTGTGTTATATATTATTTCTAAACTCTAATTCTGGATAGTGATTGCTTGACCCACTAGCAAAAAGCAAACAAGAAAGAAGAAATCAATGATTTCCTATCTTAAATAAATCTTATGTCCCACCAGCATGTTGTCTAAGTGATTTATAGTATTTTAAGCTATACTTCTGGATGTTGCCTGAAAGGTCAACTAAGCTAAATCCTTCATACGCGTGAAGATGCTGTAGCCCAGAAATAAAAGGCAAGTGGTGTCAGAAAAAAAGATACTACTTTTTAGGTTTTTTATTAACTGATTTATCTTACTATAAACAGCTAGCAAGTACAGAGCAAAAGTCATGCCTCTGTCTGATAACTCCACGTTTATTGTTATGTTCACTGAGTCACAGGAGAAACATGTTACATTGAGTCATAGTGTGGCTAATTTAAAGACAGTTCTCTCTCTCACACACACACACAGAGACACACATATACGTGCGCGCACACACACACACACACACACACAGACAAAACAGAGAGATAAGAGTAAGACCATAAAGGAAATCTTAACACTATGAGACCTATGGAAAAAAAAAATAGATGCCATTGCCTAGATGATTATTACTTGATATTCCTTGCCTAGAAAAATAATGGAAAAAGTAAAACAGAACAAAACAAAAACATGTAAATATTAGCTTTGCATAATAACAATAGCTCAAATTCATAAATAAAACAGTACTATGAGAATAAATAGCTTCAGTATCACTATCAGAATAACTTTAATTACATTCTAATTTTGATAACTTATAACTAGGTTTGCCATTTCTGCCAATAGAATAACTATTCTTCTATTTTTGCTTTGTTTTCAGTGTTCTCATTAGTCTCCAATGGAACTAAAATCTACCAAAACTGAACAAGAATTAACTCTAATGTTAGGGTCTATGAGCAATCTAAACACCACAGGACACATTAAAAGATTCCATGCTTACAAAGAAACTGCAAGAAAATGGAACAAGAGCTCTCGTGCTCTTGAGCCACCCACCTCCTTGGTGTTTCCATTCAGTCATCAAGATTCTGGACTGAGCTCAGTGACTCAAGTTGCCTAGATAAGAGTGTGGTATTGCATGTGGTAGTCACCTGAATATTGGTTAAATGAATCAATGAATACAGATCTTATTCTCTGGAGGCTGGCGCAGTCATTTAAACACATCAGTGACAATCCCGGTAACCTCATCCTCTTTGACGAACGTTGTACCAAATGCGGACACCTGCATTTTAATCAGATTCAGTGTATCATATAGGACCTCAATTTTTGATATTTGGCTGCTGATGGCTTTTAAGCGTCAACTCTCCCACTACCCTTTTATCCCTCATTCTGGGCAAGCTGGTAAGAAAGTCTGAGTGCTTCTTTGACACAAGTTATAATTTCAAACCACACATGCTGCTGTCATGGCATAGGAAGCTGCTACCCAGTTCCATCCCCTTAACATCATAAAAACCTATGCCAGTCTTCTATCCGTGCATTCTCGTGCCATTTTCAGACTGGCTTAGGTTTATTTTGCTGTAATGAGACTCAGAAGTCTCACTAGTGAGTTACGGAACTTCTCGTATCCTCTCGGTTTGCATGTGGTGTCATCTATCTCAAGATCTGAACTAAATTTGGGGGCAGTCTAGTCTCCATACTAGGGCCATAACACGATATAAACCAGAAGCTACATCCGTGGCCACTGCTTCTTGGTATCGATATTGGATTTGTCTCAGTGCCTGCCTTTCCTTAGGAATGCTTGTTCAATTTTGCCTTAAACTCTCATCAAACCCAGGTATCCTTTCAAGACATTCCTATGACTCCTGAAGTTAGTCATAGTATATATATATTTTACATGTATTCGAGGTCCTTAACTTTTTTATGTAGAATTTATTCTTTGCTATTTCCACATTTTCCTTATTGATTGATTGATTGTGACAGAGTCTCACTTTGTCGCCAGGCTGGAGTGCAGTGGTGCAATCTCGGCTCCCTGCAACCTCTGCCTCCCAAGTTCAATTGATTCTCCTGCCTCAGCCTCCTGGGTAGCTGGGATTACAGGTGCGCACCACCACGCCCAGCTAATTTTTTTTATTTTTAGTAGAGGCGGGGTTTCACCATGTTGGCTAGGATTGTCTCCATCTCTTGACCTCGTGATCTGCCCGCCTCAGCCTCCAAAGTCCTGGGATTACAGGCATGAGCCACTGCGCCCCGCCCACATTTCCCATATTTTAAGAGGTTCATCGACTAATCTGTAATCAGAAAGAAATTAAACACTTATGCTAATATACACACTTTAACTTTATTACTGCATAATTGTGATGGTTATTTTTATGTGTCAATTTGACTGGGCCATAGGGTGTCATGATATTTGGACAAACATTACTCCAGATGTGTCTTAGAGTGTTTCTACACGCAATCAACCTTTGAATCTGTAGACTGAGTAAATTAGATCATCCTCTAAAGGGGGTGGGCCTCATCCAATCAGCAGAAGATCTGAATAGAACAAAATGACTGTCCCCACCGTGAGTAAAAGGGAACTTCTTCTTGACTACTTTGAAATGAAACATCCATTTTTTTCCTGCTTTCTGATTCAAACTAAAATATTGGCTATTCCTGGGTGTCAATTATGCTGACATTCAAACTGGAACTAGGCATTAGTTTTCCTGAATCTAAGGCTTTTCGACTCAGACTGGAACTACACCATTGGTTTCCGGGGTCTCTAGCTTGTCAACTGCAGACCTCAGAACTTGATTGGTTTGTGTGAGCAAATTCCTTACAACAAATCTGTCTCTCTCTTGCACACACATACACATGCACACACACACACACATTCTATTGTTCTGTTACTCTGGAGAATCCTAATTAAATAATTTTTTCTTTCATATTTACTGTTGTTAGCAAATATTTTTTCTACAGACCTAAGCACATTTTAATAAGCAATTTAAAGGCAAATTATCAATATTTAAAGTAAGAATTTTAATTCCACAGATTAGAATAATATCTTCAACAGGAGTTTGGGCTCTTTAATTACTTTCTCAAGATGGGTACAGCCCTTTCCTCACATGAATGACAATTCCTAAAGACCAACTGTTTGTCTAAAATGAATTCCTTCATATTTGTTGAAAATTTTGGTAATATTATCTGATTTTCTTTATAGTAATTACAGTAGACTGATCATAACTGTGGACTTACTTTGGACACATAAACCCCCAAAATAAAGCCTGGAAGCTACCTTTTTATAAAGAACCTAGATGACTGCTTTTAGGTTTTGATCTTATAATACTAGACCACTGTATTCATGAGTTGTTGTGTTTTCACATTTACTATATGTCGTATTTACTAAGTTACTTTGAAAATGAAAGCATTAAGTAAGTACAGATGAGCTGCTGACTCGAAGCTGCACAGAGGCCAAAATTAAGGGAGCTGAAACATAAGCAATCTCACTGCATAAGTTCTATATTGGAGGATTCTATATCTGATTTTTTGAAAATTTTTTTATGATGCTTGCATTTGACTGAGACTTTAGGTAAGTGTGTATTATAATTTCGAGGATCCAGTCTAGCCAACATCTATAGGATAAGTAGTGCAATAGTAGCATGGAGCTGCTTCAAAGGTGTCTTCCAAGTTTATTGTAGGTATGTTTTCAAGTGATTTACTGTTCCAAGGATTGCATATATAATAACTACTGTACATTGCCTTACTGGTTTATTATTTTACTTATTTTATTTAATTACAGAGAAGGCTGTATTAGTCCATTCTCATATTGCTCTAAAGAAATGGTTAGGACTGGGTAATTATTAAGAAAAGAGTTTTAATTGACTCATGGTTCTCCAGGTTATACAAGAAGCATGCTGGGGAGGCCTCAGGGAGCGTTTACTCATGATGCCAGGCAAAGCCACAACAGACATCTTCACATGACTGGAGCAGGAGGAAGGGGAGGGAGGAGGTGCTACCCACTTTTAAGCAACCAAATCTCATGAAAGCTCACTAACATGAGAACAGCCACACTGGGGAAATCTGCCCCCATGATCCAATCACCTCCTACCAGGCCCCAATCTCCAACATTGGGGATTACAATTCGACATGAGAGTTGGGTGCAGATCCAAACCCTATCAAATGCCATGTGATGCTCTTGCTATAGTGTGGACATTTATGCTCCCCCAAATTTCATAAATTAAGTTGCTAACCCCCAATGTGATGGTATCAGTAGGTGGGGATCTTTGGAGGTGATTAAGTTCTACTTTTATGAATGGGATTGGTGTCCTTATAAAAGAGGCCAGAGGGAGCTTGTTACTTCTTCAGATCTCTGACAACACAGTGAGAAGGTGTTATCTGTTAGAAAGTGGACCCTACCTTGATCTTCAACTTCACAGCCTCCAGAAATGTAAAAAAAAATAAATAAATTTCTGCTGCTTGTAAACCACCAGTTTATAGTATGAAAAATGGATTTAGATACTTTTATAGAAATTCAGACCGAATAATAAGCTAGGTTGGAAAGTAGTGGTGTAGTTATAGTTATTCTAGTGGAAATATTCATATTTTAACTAGCATTTTCCTCTTGCCCTACTCCTACTTCTGTTCTGCCATGTCTTATGCTATCACTATGTTACCACAGCAGTGCAGATGTTAAAAATTGACGTGGGTGTTAGAAATTGCTTCCTGTTTAACACAGTGCATGTAAAGACAGTACCCCAGAAAATGTATTTTCAAGGTTCGCATCCCATTTATGTTATCTTATCAATAAACCTCAGTCTTTTACATTTTTTTTAGGAGTAGACCATTTTCTCCACAGCAATGTAGTGTTTAAAGTCTTTATTTGGAATTTTCAAAGTAATTACTGTGTTATACTTATTATCAGTATTCATAAATTCATGAATTAAAAATCATTTATCATGCTAACTCACTTGTAACGTAAGCTAACTTTTAGTTGTGAATCCTTAATAAGAGAGTAGACAAATGCATTCAGTATGCATCAGAAATAAGCACATTTTAACAATATACAAAGAGTAGATGCGCATGATTTATCTCTTGGTAAAGAGACAGATTAATAGGATTAATGCAGTCATAAGATGAAATAAAAGTCTATGCCCTTTGCTCAAAGCTTCATATTATTTTATGTGTATTTCGTGTATTTACCTTATCTTCCAAAATTTTCTAAACACAGTACCCTTCAATATATAGCATTGTATACTAACAATATACAGCATAAATAATACCAAATCTTAATATATAGTCTCCACAATCAAATGTAGCTCATAAATTCCTAGATAATAATGTCATTGGAAGTGACCTTCCTCATTTGTCAGGAAGTTTCAGAGCTAGTCCATGGTTTCCCTTGCTTCTGCAATATTGAAAGCGTATGCCAATATGGGAATCTTCGTCAGTATCAGAAATTTGGAGCAGAGTGCTATGCTAACCCACAGTAAGTAGGCATGTGACCACTGAGAGGGTCAGGTTGTTTGTTACAGCAACAAAGCCTAAACTATTCTGGGTTATGCAGCTTTCTATGTATTTTTTCAATTAATTCTAACAATATGATTGTGCAGTGGAATCACTAAATAAACAATGAAGAAAAACACTTTCCTGTTTCAAAAAAGGCTAAATATAGGGTAAAGAAAACACATTTATAGAATTGATTTATTCTGTAATAAATCAATTTGAATAAAACTAAATTTGAATACTTTACAGAAGCAAGGTTAAATTATCTTGAATTAAAAGGATCCACATTCATCTTCTAAATGTTGTAATGAATAAAAACAGAAAAATAAAAAATAGAAAATAATATATGAATATGGACTCTTTTATAAAGTGTGAAAATGAGTAAAATCAAACATTATACCTTATGAAGCACATGTACAGGTTATGTAAAAGTTGTAAAATATATATATTTATATGTGCCGTCATGTGCCACATAGCATGCATTGCCTACAGTGTGATGCACTGCATATATGACAGTGGTCACAAAAGATGATAATGGAGCTAAAACATTTCTATCACCTAGTGACATCATAGCTATCATAACATCATAGCAAAACACATTACCCATATGTTTGTGGTAATGCCGGTATAAACAGACATACTACACTGTGAGTTGTATAAAAGTCTATCACATATAATTATGTGTACATAATGATAAAAAAAGACTATTGCACAGGTTTATGTATTTACAATACTATACTTTTTATGGTTCTTTTAGAGTGTATTTCTTCTACTTATTTTTCTTAAAGTTAACTGTAAAGCAGCCTCAGGCAGGTCTTTCAGGAGGCATTCCTCAAAAAGGCATTGCTATCATTGGAGATGACAGCACCATTGTGTTATTGCTCCTAAAGAATTTTCAGTGGGACAAGATGTGGAGGTGGAAGACAGTGATACTGATGATACTGACCCTGTGTAGACCTAGTCTAATGAATGCTTTTGTGTCTTAGTTTTAACCAACAAGTTTAAAAAGTAAAAATTAAATAAAATTGAAAAATTGAAGAAAGAAAAAGCTTATGAAATAAGGATATATAAAAAAGAAAGTATTTTTGTATAGCTGTAAAATGTGTTCATGTTTTAAGCTAATGTTATTACCCAAGAGTCAAAAAGTAAAAAAAAAATATAAAAGTTTATAAAGTGTAAGAGTTACAGTAAAGTAAGGTTAATTTATGATTGAAGAAAGAATTTTTAAAAATAAATTCAGTGTCCCCTAAGTGTACTGTATTTATAAAGCCTACAGTTGTGTACAGTAATGTCCTAGGCCTTTACAATCACTCACCTCTCCCTCACTCACTCACACAGAGCACCTTCCAGTTCTGCAAGCTCCATTCATGGTAAGTACTCTATACAGATGCATTATTTCTTATCTGCTATACCATGTTTTTTACTCTACCTTTTCTATGTTTAGATACACAAATAATTACCATTGTGTTACAATTATTTACAGTATTCAGTACAGTAACTTTTTTTTTTTTTTTTTTTTTTTTTGAGACGGAGTCTCGCTCTGTCGCCCAGGCTGCAGTGGTGCAATCTCGGCTCGCTGCAAGCTCCTCCTCCCGGGTTCACGCCATTCTCCTGCCTCAGTCTCCCAAGTAGCAGAGACTACAGGCGTCCGCCACTACACCCGGCTAATTTTTTTTTTTTTTTTTCAGTAGAGACGAGATTTCACTATGTTAGCCAGGATGGTCTCGATCTCCTGACCTCGTGATCCGCCCGCCTCAGCCTCCCAAAGTGCTGGGATTACAGGCGTGAGCCACCGCGCCCGGCCTCAGTACAGTAACATTCTGTACACATTTGTAACCTAGGGGCACTAGGCTATGCTGTATAGGCTAGGTATGTAATAAGCTATTACCTTCTAGGCTTGTGTGTATACTTTCTATGATGTTAACACAATTATTAGATTGACTAATGATACAATTAACATAATCTATTCTCATCATTAAGTTCTGCATGACTGCATATAGCAGAAAAATCAAGAAAAATAATAAAAATTTGAGATATTGTTACCTCCATCCAGTACAATTAGCAGTAATAACTCTGGCTGCTTCTGTGCTACTTGAGTTCTATTTTTTATAATGGTTTATCTGCCACATTTTAAATTAATTTTATGTATATTTCACATATACATTAATTGCTTAAGCTACTTGTAGGTAAAGATAGATATGACATATGCTATTTAAATCACCTTATATTGCAGATTGTGAGTTAAAACACTCTGTAGTTACATGTGTATGTATAAATACAAATATAATATATCCCATAATATATAATTTTAAACTACAGACCAATTCATAATTTGCAATTAAATGTGGAAGCAATTAAATCACTAAATTTTTTCCTAAAAATAATTTTCTAAATTACAAACTATCAAAATTCCCTTTAAAATATAAAATTAAAGTTTTTTTGTTATGAAAAAAGTAATTTCTTTTTTTAAGAGTTTTTCTTTTTTTTTTTTTATTTTACTTTAAGTTCTGGGATACTGGTGCAGAACATGAAGGTTTTTCCATAGGTATACATAGATATGTATAGATAGGGGGTTTGCTGCCTCTATCTACCTGTCATCTAGGTTTTAAGTCCCGCATGCATTAAGTATTTGTCCTAACTAATGCTCTCCCTCCTTTATTCCCCCCACCCCCAAAGGCCCCCCTGTGTGATGTTCCCCTCCCTGTGACCACGTGTTCTCATTGTTCAACTCACATTTATGAGTGAAAACATGCGGTGTTTGGTTTTCTGTTCCTGTGTTAGTTTGCTGAGAATGGTGCCTTCCAGCTTCATCCATGTCCCTGCAAAGGACATGAACTCATTCTTGAAAAAAAGTAATTTCTAAAAAACACAAATGTTGGAATTATCTACCTTCTGCAATATTTTTAAAGAGATTAAGTCCTTAAGGAACAGATATAAAATGAATTCTGAATTGTTTTTAGGAGAATTATTTGAATGTCATCTTTCTTGAAACCATCAAATATCCATTTCTTAGAAAAATAAAGACACTGAAAAGTTTACAGTATTTATATGTGTATTAAATTTATCTTTTAACCAAAATATTACATATTTTATAGCAATGAAGGCTGCAGTTGTTTTATTTTTTATGATAAGATTTGTAATGAAAGATGTCTTCTGTAATTATTACAAATATAGAAAAACGAATTATTTATCATAGGATAATTAATATAGTCCTCAAACAGTGATATGTAATGTAATTTTTTATTGAGTACAATATTTTAAAGTAATTGTTAGGCTGTAGTTACTACTGATATAATTCTTTCAATACCACTAAACCAACTCTCAGCATCCTAAAACACTCAGAAATATATTCTTCAAACAATTTACACTACCATGGGTAATAAACCTCAAACAACATGAAACAAAAACAGGGTATGCACTGGAGACTCAACCTAAGTGTGGGTCTCCAAATATATTAAAAATGTAGATATATTAACAGCGCTTGTATTTTTCCTTATTTGCTAACCAGTGAATTAAGAAATGTGTTCTCAGTGGATGTAGCTCTAAGCCTCTGACCCTCATTTCAAACAGAGCATGTCAATTTTTTTTTTTTTGATAGTTCTATATTGGTCTCTCAAGTAAGATTCTAAGCCTGTCAATTTTTTTTTTATTGGATAGTTCTATATTGGTCTCTCAAGTAAGATTCTATTTGAACAAAAATGTTCATGGCTATAAATATACATACAAAACCAGTTTGAAGGTTAATTTTCTGGTCTGCAAGATTGTCTAGTTATAGTAACCACATCATTCATATGTATATAATATATATCATATCACATAGTTTGTACGTATATAATTTATGTTTCAGGATATTCTAAAATATATAATCAAGTGAATTAAAAAAGACCAAAATTTTATTTAAATAGTTGTGTTTACACAAGCATTAATAGAATTTAGCTTATGCATATGTCATACATTAAATATTAAGATGGAATATTTCCACTCAGAAAATATTCAAAATTACTTTGAAGGTATCTAATAAATGTTGAATAGCAATTACCACCTTGAAATGTAAGCTATTTTTTTTCCACATTAAGGATATTTGAATCATATTTGTTAGATAAATAAAAGTTTGTTTAACTAAGTTGCTTTTCCTTCCATGGAAAATTAGAAATAAAGTTTCATTGCATGTACTCTACTAAGAAGTTAGTACAACCATCTTTCCTAAAATAAGAAATGTAGAATAAGGGGCAGACTCTTAAATAGGTAAAAGTTTGATTTTGAATAAAAATAAATGCAAGAAAATATGTAGAATCTTCTCATTTTAATATGATAAAGTATTCTAATTTATACTTTATTCATTTATTTTCTCAATATTACCTTTAATTACCCTTCAATTAATGTAACTACTAAAATACTTCCTATGTGTCAATTACATTTCTAAAATTTTATTACATACCAATAATTTGTTAATGCAAGATAGTGTCTCGTTTTCAATATGTTAACAGAGTATTATAGAATAATACAATGAATAAAACATACAAGTGTATAAATGGATAAAAAGAAATGGTAAGAAAGACTTCTTAGAATATTTAAAACTTCAATCAAGTCATGGAATGAAGAAAGTTGTTTATGTGGATATCGAGAGAAAGATATTTGAGGTAGAATTAGCAAATTAGCATATGCAAATTAGCATATTTCTCAGAATAATGAGAAAGCATGACATATTCATTACATGACCATTATTTTCAGTATTGCTAGAAGGAAAATGGAAGAGAATGTGAAATGCAAAGAGACAGAAAGAAAAAAACAAGAGTTAAACAAAGCCCTCTTAGGCTATTAAGGGCATTGTGTACAAAGCTGAGCAATTTGTTCTTCATGTAAGCTATGGAAGTAAATGGAGAATATTAAAATGAGTGATCTGACCAAGTGTGTATGGATGACAGTGCAATGAATAATTCTGAGGGAGAGGATGCTAGAGTGAAGAATGATTGTAAGAATTCAGTAAAGAGATGATAAGTTGACTAACCAGAAGGAAAGTTTGAATACAGAAAGGAGGGGCTGTATATTTAGGAAATAGAATTAGAAAGTCTTTTTGTTTTAGTGCAATAGATCAAATAGAGGAGAGGATCTAACAAGAGTTCTGTGTTTCTAATTTGAGCAAAAGATAAATGGAGATGTCATGCCTTAAGTTATAATTTGGAGAAGCCTAGAGTAAAATGATTGGTGAGTTAAGTTTGGATACTGTGAAATGTAAGGTTGCTATAGGATTGTATATGCTAGTTAAATAATATTTGATGTTAGAATTCAGGAATCAAATTTTAGCAAGAGTAATAGATTTTATGGTCGCAAGTTTAAAAAATACAACCAGAATTATGTAGCTATAATTTTAGACTTCATAAGTATCTTTCAATAAATAGACAAAGAAAGCTTATCTTTTAAAAACAATCAAGAATATTTTATTCAAAGAGAAGGTAAATGGTAATGATGATAAAATAGATGGGTTTTACAAAGAAAGGGATAGTCAAAGCATTGTTCGATTTTTAGTAAATCATCTGGTCAAATAAGTCAGCAATAATTGCTTTTTCAGAAGTTGGGATCTCGTGGTACATAGAATTGACATGTATTTTTGTAAATAAAATTTTATTGGAACACATACACATGTATTTGTTTCTATATGGTCTATGGCTGTTTTTAAGCTACAACAAAACAGTTGAATAGCTCTAGCAGAGACTACACAGCAAATGACCTTAATGTATTTGCTATACTGCCCCTTTAAGAAATGGTTTGTCAATCCTAGGTTTATTGTATTTGGCAATTTGGAGATAATGGCTATTTCAATTAAGTGACTAGAACATAATTGAGATTCCAGTATATCTGCCCATTTTGGCTTTTTATAACAATTATGCCAAAAAACAGTAAAAATATTACTGATGTAAAATATTTTATTAAACTCAAAGATATGTTTAAGGTGATTATTCATCTTCAAATAATCTATAATTTTAAAGCAATAAAAATAAAATTAAATGGTAAAATTTTGTTTTAATTTAACAAAAAAACGATGGTTTATGGTTTAATTTAATCATAAAAGATGCCAAAAGTGGTTAAAGCAAGGAATCTCAGCCTTGCTTGCACAGTAAAAAAAGTTTGAAATTACTGATAGTCACACCTAAAATATATTACAATAATTTAATTGGAGTTTGAATATCAGGGTTTTTAAATCTCCACCCATGTAATTCTAATATGCAGTAAGATTGATAAACATTTCTTTAATGAGAGTAAAAATCAACAACTAGGATAATTATGATAAAAATAATATCAAAGTAGGTCTTATGCTAACATAACTTAAATTTTTGCTAAAATGATTTAATAAATGAAATCATAAGAGAATAGAATTTGGGAGACAAATTAAATAATATAAAAAGTAGTTCAGAAAGACACTAAAGCAATTCTCCCCATAATATTGGCAAGAGTTGAAGTGCATTAGAATACTGCGTGAAAGAATTAAAAACATCTCAAAAACTCCAAGAAAAGTCTTATCTAAAAGATCTTAATTAAATCATGATATTATTACATTTTATATTTTCATTGGTTTGAATTACTTCATGTAACTAAACTTTAAATTAGTGAGAAAATATCTAGCATATCTTTGAAGTTTTTAAGGGCTAATAATAAATATACATTGTCTTTGTACACATCTGCTCATTTGTATTTTATGTATCGATGTGAATATCTGACATAATTTCCTATTCTTCTATACAATTTTTTTTATTTTTTGAGATGGAGTTTCGTTCTTGTTGACCAGGCTGGAGTGCAGTGGGGTGATCTCGGCTCACCGCAATCTCTGTCTCCCAGGTTCAAGTGATTTTCCTGCCTCAGCCTCCCGAGTAGCTGGGATTACAGGCATGCACCACCCACACCGGTTATTTTCTATACAATTCTATTCCTTTATTCTATAGGCATAGATATGACAGCACATTGTATTTTCTTGCTTGCCAATATACACCAATATATCCTAAAGCAGCATTTATAGATGAATTCTATTTGATTTCCAAGCACAGAATTATGTATAAATACTTTCTAAAACATTTATCATTATACCTTGTATAGGATAATTTGAAACACATAACATTATTTTATGCACCATTAAGGATAAGAAAAGGCTAAAAATCAAGGTTTAATATGCCTTATTATTGATTGTATATTTCAAATTCAGAAATTCAGACGCATTTCATATGAAAAAGAAGTATCAGAATCGACGAAATACGTTAAATGACAATGAAGGATACAAAATACCATATTAACATATTAGGATATAGACATTTTCCACCATGAGATTAACACAGAGGAAAATTGACAAAAGTAATTTAAAATGATTCAATCTCTTAACTTGTAGAGTTCCTTTACATGACTATTTTAGCACACTATAGCAGCAATTTTCTAACTGGTATGTAGTGACCTAGCAATGAATATGGAAAGGCATTTTTCAGTGTTTTCCCAGGATGAATCATAAGTACTTGAAGAATCTGTTTATTAGCTTTTTGATGTTTATATGCCAGCATGAAGAGATATGTTTATATCTAAATATAGAGAAAATATATGCTATGCAAGAAATCATTTTTTTCTCTCTGAAAAAATAAAATGAGTTTACCTCAGTGGTTTTCAAGTTATTTTAATATTTTCTGAAAAAAATTGAAGATTTAAAATAACATAAATGGAGACATGTTATCAGACATTCAAATAAACTTTCTAAATGGATTCTATCAGATATGACAGGCAGCTTTTATACAATTTATTCAAAATACATTAACTCTTATTTTAGCGGCAGCTTTTATACAATTTATTCAAAATACATTAACTCTTATTTTAGCAACAGGGTAGTGTACTATTAATGGCTTGTTCTAAATGCTTCCATTGACTGCATGCAATTCTGAAATATTCAATATCTAAATACACTTACTTCACTAAAATGACTTTAATCTCATCTGTTGTTGAATATCATGACAGATGAGGAAATGGGAACGATCTTTGATAATTAAACAAAGCAGCCTGTCTTATATTTCTAAGCTATAGGGCAGATCACATTTCCAATACGCTACATTCTATCATGAAGTTAGACAATGGTTTAACTCCTAAGACTCTAGACCAGTACTTCTGCGTCCAGGCACACACACGCACAGGATATGAGATGTGAAATTTTACATAGAAGTTTCAGATAAACAATGAAATACATAGTTTTGAGAGAGTCATTAAGTTTTCAGTTTGTTTCCTATACAAACGAAAAAAAAGATGGAAATTACAACCATCTGACATAGAAGTTGTGCACACCAAATAGAATTCTGTGAAAATATTGTTTTAAGTATTCTAAAGAGTCATATGAAGATACATGTTGTTGAGCTACTATCGGAAGAGTAGTTGATATATTGGTAGCAGTGGTAGTGGGAAGAACAGGTAGCTGTCACCAGGAAAAATAAAGTAGGCATAAAACTGGTTGTATTGTCCTAATTTATTACTGTTTAGAAGATAGGTTTTGAAGTTTCGTTATGGAATACATCATAATTAATGTGAAAATATATGAATATAGAAAATATAGATACCTAAACAATCATTTTCTTTCAAATTTTGTCAGCTATCTCTGAGCATGTAAGTAGAGAAGTAAAATCTTCATTTGACTCGAGTTCAAGAATCTTTTCACTACAGATTGCTCAGGAAGTTCATTAAATTGATTAATTGCCTTTGAGGTCTTAAAAGAAGCCATTGGTTTATTGAAAATTCAAGTCTCTGAGAATTTTCTTTTTTTAAAAGAAAATGAATTCAGGATAGTCAGTGTGGTGATTTAAAAGGAGATTTCTGAGAAAGATAGAAGTGAGCTTTAAAAATGCCTTATATATTTCCCACAGTGTATATTGTCCAGATTTATGTTTATACTATTGTTGTGATAAAACAATCCATAAGAATGAAGAATTATTGTGGATTTCAAATTGTTTAAAGATGGGGTTAATGCTATTACATTTTCTGACTTCTTACCTGAAAGTTTTAAATAAAAAAGATCCACTAGGATGTCAAAATCTAGATTTATGTATGTATTATTATTAGTGGGTCTTCAGAGACCCTCTTACGATTACTTTGTGACTCATAAATCTTTAAGCAATTGAGTTCCTTGAACAAAAACTACATATATTCATCTTCTCACAGAAAACAGACCTGATAAAATTATTCATTTTGTGCCTTTCTTATTTTTCTCAGGAAGGGACCATATCATAAAAAAATACATTTTCTTATTAAAATAATGAACAATATTTTTAAAGATGGATATTTAATAAATATAAATATCATTTCAAATATTTCATTATGATTCATTCTACAATTATCGTCATAAAACATTACTTAAAAGGAGCACTTGTATTGAATCTTACAATTTTCCTGACAGTTCAAAAATCTGTGATAAAATATATATTCCTCCTATACTCTGAGTCTCTAAGAAGTTAAATAAAATAAAAGATAATGAGGTAGATTTCCCAAATCCTTTTATGATGAATATGTGACAAAAATAGAGCTGTTAACTCTTTGAGAAAATTTGATATTGTCTCTTCTGGCTTTACAATCAAATCCCTGCAATCAGCTGAAATTTTTAAAGTTTATATATTCTATTTTATAAGTTGAAAAAAGAAGTACCTCACAGGAATTTAGGCCATAGATGCTTGAAAAGTCTAAATTCCTCCTAGAATACTAAAACCATAGGTATTGAGTTTCTAGCAGATACATATCAAAGAGAATTTGTGGCTGTGCCTTACCATTATATAGAGGCATCAGCCTTAATCCCGAAATCCAGGTCTCAGGAAATAAAAGAGAATACCTCATGGTTATTAGGCGTAGTTCTCTGGTTTTTCAGTAATGCAGATGAAGCCTGAGCTCTGCCCATGTATCATAATGCCCATGCACTCTTCGAACTCAGGAAATGTGATTATTGCCTATCTTTTGTAATAAACTATACAGATTGAATATGGGACTTATATAAAGCAGGGGTATTAACTTATTCAGAGTCCAAAAAAGGAATAACATTCAGAGTGTATTGAATGAAAGCACACTTGTATACACACACACACACACACACACACACACAGAGAGCAGCTGTGATACTTTAATTACTTCTTATACCCTCACATTTTAAGTCATATTTGATAGTATTCTAACTTAACCAAAATGATGCATTATTCTTTGTAATCTGCTTCTTGAAATAATGTAAGGATAAGAAAATTGTCCAGTTTATTAAACTTTTCAAATTTGAAAATGGTTTAAAATAAAAATGTAGCTTACACACATAAAAGAAGAAATGACATGTGTATTTATATTTATTGACCATAAGTCATTTGGATGATAATTTTGAAATCATTTTCCTTACAGGAAAAATATTTTCTCTATAAAAATAGAAAGAAAACAAAAAAATGTAATTGAGATTGAGATGCTATGGAAAAATTCACCATCATTGCTTTTGGTTGAGGCATTTTAAATTTTTTGTAATTTCAGGTCTTGGGCTGCTTAAACTACGTATCACAAATGCCTAACCCCTGTTTGTTATCACAGTAGAAATATTAATGTTTTTCTTTATGATGATGATGTAGTAAAAATTGGAAATAAAAATCCCTTAAACTGTATATAATAATTAAGCTGGAAAGTAGGAGAAATCACAGAATTTGCACTCTGTAAATACATGCCTGTGCACATCTTAAGTGCAGACTTCTCTCAACTGTGAGTCAAAATTACTCTTAAAGCTATCTTAATTCAATATTAAAAATTCATCAAATTTGCAAGTCAAAACGATAAAATTCTAGATTTAGGTTCATAAAATAGTTATAAAATAAAATGCACTATTATTAACCATTAAATATAAAAGTATACAGAATAATTTTTTCAGAAATTCAGAAAATTAGTAATATTAAGGATATGAGTAAAATGATAAATAGCAAACTAAAATAAATGCTTATTTTATATTTTCTTGAGTATATATTAGATCTGTTGTCATTTAATAGCATAAAAACAAATTACCTAACATAAATTTCTAAGAAATATTTACTGTTGTAAGATAAGCAGTCTTATAATGTATAAGTAATCTCTCTAATCGTTTCTTCTAAAATGGCTGAGGTTACTTACATTTTCAAGTAATGTTCAAATCACAAGACGTTCTTTAAAAATATACACCAAGAAATGAGAATTTCAGATTCAGAATTTTACTAAAAATTCTCCTTTAAAAAGTTATCACCTGACAGAGCCTTATAAGCTTTTTATTGTGAAATAAAATCGGCATGGAGGAAAAATACAATCATCGCTCTCTATTCCTGAGAGATTAGTTCAAGGTCACCACCATCTACAGATACCAAAATCCATAGATGCTCAAGTCCTTTAGGTAAACGGTGTAGTATTTGCATATAGCCTACACATATCTTCCCGTATACCTTAAATGGCCTCTACATTACTAATAATACCTAATATGATGCAAATGATTTATAAATAGTTGTTATACTATATTGTTTAGGGAATAATGACAAGGAAGTAAAAACGTCTGTACATGTTCAGTACAGATGCAACCATCTTTTAAAAACTTTTTTAAAGTATTATTGTTCTGGGCTTATTTGAATCCATGAATATGGAACCCACGAATATGGAGGGCAAACAGTTATCACAAAATGAAGTTCTGCATTTCAGAGTATTGTCACCCAGAAATTAAAAATGACCAGCATGGCAGCCCTCAAATCCTAAAATCCTGAGGCAGTGGCCTCACTTCTGCAGATCAAGGAGGCCACTGAGCATTCACCTTTTCTTTTTTTTTTTTTGAGACAGAGTCTTGCTCTGTTGCCCAGGCTGGAGTGCAGTGGTGCAATCTCAGCTCACTGCAACCTCCACTTTCCAGGTTCTAGCGATTCTCCTGCTTCAGCCTCCCAAGTAGCTGGGATTACAGGTGCCCACCACCATGCCCGGCTAATTTTTGTATTTTTAGTAGAGATGGGGTTTCACCATGTTGGCCAGACTGGTCTCGAACTCCTGACTTCAGGTGATCTGCCCACCTTGGCCTCTCAAAGTGCTGGGATTACAGGTGTGAGACACCATGCCAGTTCCATTCATTCATATTTAATGCTAATTTTTGGAGATGAAATGCAAGTTGGTGAATTTATTGTTTTATAAGTTGCTAATCAACTGAAATAGTAATGCCAGAACTTTCTAAGCCATGCCAAATTTTAACACTGATTAATCATTGTGATTTGACCCAATTTTTAAGTTAATATAGTAATATTTTAATTTCCAAGTTGAATTCCTATATACAACAGAATCATCTTGTTATTTTCCATTTTTAAAAGAGTTCCCTAGTGATAGATCTGGAAAGGACTGAAGTCTTTGAAATATTGTCTTCTAATCTATATGCTGATTAATTTATATAGAGCTTTAATTTATCTCACTTTTATTTTCTCTGAGGTCTCATATATCTCTCCCTATGTTTTTTTTTCTACTTTTCTGATTTTTCAGTTATATCCTAAGTGGATTTTATGAAACATTATTTTTTTCTAAATGTTTGCTGCTTTTTAATCATTATATATTTTAGTAGTTTTCTCTATTGGATTAAGCAATTTGACTTCTATTCCTTGACTGAATATGATTTTCTTTTACTTTTAAATCATAGATGAATTGTGAACTTATCCGAAGCTCCTTCTGCATCTATTGAAGTGGTCATGATTTTTCTCCTTATTCTATGAAAGTGGTGAATTATTTTGAAAGTTTTATTCAATGTTAAATCAAAACTGAATTTCTGAAATAAATTTATCATTATTAATAGCATTTTTAGCAGGCCTCAGACTTTAATCTTCTCATTTCTCTGGGTTACAAAAGGCTGCCAAAAGCGTTACTAAGACCCATGGTTTCTCAATCCAGAAATTCTAGTGCATATAAATACTGGCTCAATTCCCTGGTCCTTCCAACCTCCGCCAGAACCTAACCTGGTGGTTCTTCCAGGTTTTATTAACTCTCCAGTGTCTTCAAGCAGATTTTTAAAATAATTATCTAATTGCATAACACAGAGAAGAAGATGCAATATAGATAGGTAGAGAGGTAAATACACAATTTTAAATCTAATAGTATATGCAGATTTTAATAAAATAGTAAATTTAATTTTAATTAAATTCCCTTTTCAAGATAATAATCTAACACATTAATTTAATCAATGCATATAAATGTTAACAAAATAACTATTTTTATTTAGTAGCAGTTAATTTTAATAGATACCCCACCACATGAATTGATTTTAGGTAATATACTGATGAAAAAATGTTTCTATAAAGACTATTTGTACTATCAAAGGACTGCTTAATTCATACCTAATAATCTTAAACAGTATAACCTCTTTACAGTTTCTATGCTCACAAATATATTTATTAGTTTATTGCCACTGAGAAAATTTTCTTATAAATCTATTATAAGGACTTGTCCATTTCATCTCAAATTTTATTTTATTAATCTTATGTTTTTAAAAATATATTATTAATTCCTAGGGGCCAAGGATTGTTACATTAGCTATTTAGAACAATTATAATGCGTAGTGACCTACATATATGTCTGTGTTAATTTAGCAGTAGTAAAATTTACTTACATGTTTTTAATATAACTGCACATATTTTCTTCTGGTTTGTGTTTGTCTGTTACGCATTGTTTTTAAAACTTTAATCTTAAGCTTCAGGAAAACTCTTCTAAGTGTTACTTCATATCCAATCTGATTATTTGTAGAATTTAGTTTATTTTAATGTATTGTGAATACTTATATACTTGGAGTCCTTTCTATAATTTTTTTTTCTTTTTTTTTTTTTTTTTTGAGACGGAGTCTTGCCCTGTCGCCCAGGCTGGAGTGCAGTGGCGCGATCTCAGCTCACTGCAACCTCTGCGTCCCGCGTTCACGCCATTCTCTTGTCTCAGCCTCCCGAGTAGCTGGAACTACAGGCGCTCGCCACCATGCCCGGCTAATTTTTTGTATTTTTAGTAGAGACGGGGTTTCACCGTGTTAGCCAGGATGGTCTCCATCTCCTGACCTCGTTATCCGCCCCCCTCGGCCTCCCGAAGTGCTGGGATTACAGGCGTGAGCCAGCGCGCCGGGCCTATAATTATTTTTTTAACTCTGATTTGTTCCACTCTTCTCTTGTCTTCTTTTTTGTTTATGTTTGGCTGATTTTCCTTCCCATTTCAGTTTTCTTTTAACCTATTTGGTGGTGGAGGAGAATGTACACTCTATCACCATAATTCTATTGGTTAAAATGAAAGCATTAACATTTAACACTAAAAAATGTATTTAATTAGTGAATACATAATATTTTAACTCTGTAGTAAAATGCAAGACTTTTAGAACGTTATAATTTTATTAGATAATTTATGATTGACTTTTACCCAAATAAATACTTAGAGAAGAAAACTTGGACAACACATAGTTAAAAACAGTAGTGCCTATAACCGTCATATAACAGATTCATAAAAGTTAATTATTAAATTAATCTGTAAAAATTCTCAATATCTTTTATAAACATGGTAATTTTATATGATTAAACCTAATAAAATTGATATTTTCAAAGCAGATTTATAAAAATATAGATAACATAATTAGAGACCACGTAACTAAAAAAAGTAAGTTCCAGCTAATGGGGATAAGACAAAAAAGGAAATAAAAGGTATATATATTGGAAAGGAAGAAACAAAATTTTCCTGGTTTTTAGATGACATAATCATCTATGTAGTAAAACTGAAGGAATAATTTTAAAAAGCGAGAATTAATAAGTGATTATGGCAAGGTTGTAGGATACAAGGTTAATATTCAAAAGTCAATACATCTCTTATATACCAGCAATGAACAAGTAGAATTTGAAATTAAAAACCCAATACCATTTACATTTGCAACCCCCAAGATGAAATGGTTTGGTATAAATATAATGAAATACATAGAAGATCTATATGAGGAAAACTATTATACAAAACTGTGATGAAGGAAATCAAACTAAATAATGGAGAGATATTTTAAATTCATGAACAGGAAGAGTTGATGGTATCAAGATGTCAGTTCTTCCCAACTTGATCTATAGATTCAATTTAATCGTCCCAAAAATCTCAGCAAGTTATTTTGTCAGTATCAACAAACCGATTCTAAAGTTTATAAGGAGAGGCAAAAGACCCAGAATAGCCAACATAATACTAAAGAACAAAGCCAGCAGACTGACCCACTATCAGACTTCAAGACTTACCATAAAGCTATGGTAATCAAGACTGTGTAACCCTGGTAAAAGAATGGGCGAATAGATTAATGAAACAACATTAAAAAATAAGAAGTAGACCCACATGAATATAATGATCCAATATTTTTTTAAAAAGCAGAGGTAATCAGTGCAGAAAAGATAATCTTTCCCCAAAGTGGTATTGAAATAACTGGATATTCACAGGCAAAAAAAAAAAAAAAAAAAAAAAATGAATCTATACGCAGACCTTATACCCTTCCCAAAAATTAACTCAAAACGTATCATAAACCTAAATATAAAATGCAAAATTATATAACTCATAGAAGATAACAGGAAAAAACTTATGGATATGGCAATGTGTTTTTAAACATAACACCAAAGGCATGATTTATAAAAGAAAGAATTGATAAGCCAGATTTCATTTAAATTTTAAACTTCTTCTTTGCAAAATATAATGTCAAAAGAATGAGAAAACAAACTACAAACTCGGAAAAAAAATTTTCAAACATATCTGAAAGGACTGTCATTAAAATATACAAATAATTCTTAACGCTCAACAATGAGAAAACAAATAACTCTTAAAACTCAACAACAAGAAAACAAACAGCCAGATTACAAAATGGGTCAAAGATCTTAACAGACACCGCACCAAAGAAGACATATAAATGATAGAAAGCATGTGATAAGATGCTCCACAATGTATATAATAGGGGCAAATGCAAGTTAAGAAAAAACAAAAACAACAAAATGACACAATACACCAATTAGAATGGCCAAAATTCAGATAACTGACAACAACTGCTGGTGAGGATGGGAAAAAACAGAAATTCTCATTCATAGCTGGTGGGGGGAGTGCACTTTGTTTAATAGCTTGGCAGTCCTTATGAAACTAAGCGTACTCTTGCCATACAGTCCAGTAATCACATTATTTGGTCTTTACCTAAAGATGTTGAAAATTTATGTCCACATAAAAACCTGTACACAGATGTCAACAACAGCTTTGTTGATAATTTTCAAAACTGGGAAGCAGCAGGTGAGTGGATAAACACTCTTTAATATATCCAAATAAGGGAAAATTATTCAGCACTAAAAAGAAATGAGTAATCAAATCATCAAAAGGCATGGGGGAAACTTAAATGCATATTGTGAAGTGAAAGAAGCTAGTGATAACCTATGTATATGTATGATTTCACCCATAAAAAAATTCTGGAAGAAGCCAAACTATAGAGACTGTAAAAAAAAAAATTAATGGTTGCCGGAAGTTGGGGTGAGGATATTTATAGGCAGAGCACACAGGAATTTTAAGGCAGTGAGAACACACTGTATAATACTGTATTTACCACCTATTTCATTATACATGTTTTCGAAACCGTAGAATGTACAACACCAAGAGTGTACCCTTATGCAAACTATGGCCTTTGGGTGATTATGGTGTGTCAATGTAGGTTCATCAGTTGTAAAAAATGTAGCACTCTGGTGGGGGATGTTGATAATAAGGGAGGTTGTGTGTGTGTGAGGGCAGGGGATATATGGGAAATCTCTGTGTCTTCTGTTAATTTTGCTGTAAACCTAAAACTGCTCTCAAAAAAGATCATCAAAATAAATTTTAAAATATGGTCAAGTTGAAAATAACTTATTAGCCAATATAGTGCAAAAAGTAATAAAAACAATGTCATATACAGTATAATAATACCCTATTTATTAACTGCGCAATTATCCTTTCATTTTTTCTCTCAGATAAAAAATATCATTTGCTAGGACACTTGAAGTGGTAACTTTAGGGTTTCTTTTTAACCTCTCTCCTGGCATAAATATGAACCTTGAAAAAATATATTGATTGAAATTTCTAGCAAGTAATCAAAATTCTCATTTTTCCTGTTCTTGCATTCTCCAGTTTAGGACTCTCTTGATTCTACCAGGACTCTTATCATAATCTATTGCTTGATGAATACTATTTTAAAATGTAAAACTCAGTAGATATAAATGTATAATACAATAATAATAACAGAAAGATGAGTAAAGAATGGTAACTGTGCTGAATTATGTTGCTTTTATCCAAAATAAGAGACCACATATCACGTTATTTTATAATTAGTGATAATGTGAGTTTCTCTCTGACTATATTTTAATAAATTTTAGAGCAGATTCCCAGGAGTATTCAGCTTTCTGTTTCCTCTTTCTAAATCTATTGGGAGCCTATTTTTGTATATCTTTTCTGAACAACCATATATGTGATTTACCTTAGAGATGTAGTATAGTGACCTCGCATTTGATGAAACTGTAAAACTGGAATCTCTTTCCTCCACAGTAGGGCGAACGACATACTATAATGCCAAATACTACTCTTAACCTTTATAAATACATTAAATCTCATTAACCAGGCAGAAATAGTTTAATTCTAATATGTGGTAGGCTGTGTCAGTGTATTAACCATTCAATTTTTATGAATTATTAATCTGTATCTCAAGTTATTGGCTACTAGATTAATTCATAGAACATTTCATAAACCTCAAGATAAAGGAACATATTACATAATACTAGGATTTTCAATTTACTCTATAAATTTCCCATAGACACATAGATATTTATACTATGCCCAGTTTAACATTTTGACTCAAATGGATATTTTAAAATTTAGATTTTTAAACACATACTCTCTCTCTCCATCTCTATATCTCACTTTATCCCAACCTTAGAACTCGTGAGTTGGCAATCTCTTCCACATAAGCACTCATCAGCTATCTATAATGATCTATAATGGCCAACTGTTGATGTCTGCAGACTAACTCTCTTGCAGAATATCATCTAGTATAATTTTAGTGGTAGAGATTATATATTTTCCCAGCCCTACTACGATAGTTTTGGTTATTCATGACTTTGAACTCCTCTAACCTGTGTTCCTGTCAACAGAGGTTAATGATTCCGGACCACATTCTTTCAAAGCCACGAGGCAATATTGTTAGTCTAGTTGAACACTCTGCTCTTAACTCTGTCCACAACTTTCAATCTTACTGTGTTCATGTATTCAAGAGAGATGCTCTTAATAGTTTTTTGTTTCTTTGTTTGTTTGTTTTTGGTTTTTTTTGAGAGACAGAGTTTCACTCTTGTTGCTTGTTGCCTAGGCTGGAGTACAATGGTGTGGTCTCGGCTCACTGGAACCTCTGCCTCCCAGGTTCAAGCGACTCTCCTGCCTCAGCCTCCTGAGTAGCTGGGATTACAGGTGTGCACAACCATGCCTGGCTAATTTTTGTATCTTTAGTAGAGATGAGGTTTCACCATGTTGATCAGGCTGGTATCGAACTCCTGACCTCGGGTGATCCACCCACCTCTACCTCCCAAAGTACTGAGATTACAGGCGTGAGCCACCATGCCCAGCCTCCCATTAGTTCTAAAATGATAAAACTTCATGAGAGATAATATAAGAAATATTCCTTTAGCATTATTAAACTTTAAATATGCAAATACTGCTCCAACTCATGATTGCATATACGAAAAATGGCAAACAGTGAAAAAGTGCTAAATTGTTTTTCCACCTACATTTTATTGAAAAGGCTATATATGTCATTCTCTGCATAATGCTGGTTCAGAGTTCTTATTCTTTTAGGCCATTTCTCTCAGCTTTGTAAAACACACATTCCACTTAGATTCCTATGATAGCCTCATTCCTCCTGGTTTTAATGATGTTGGACATTTTTTATCCTCTTCTATATTTCTGTGGGCATATTAAGACTAACAGAGTTATACAAGAGATTTTTAATTTGAAATATAAGCTTGCCTTAATTTTTTCTATTGTTAAGAAATTTATCAACACGATGTACATCTGAAGCATTCTTATATTGTTAGAATAATGTTTATGAAAAAAGCATTATTTGTTGAAAATAATCAGGGTTCTTCAACCTCAGCTCTTTTAACATTGCGGGTCCAATCTTTCTTTGTTGTGGGAAGCTGCCCTGTGTGTGGGAGGATGACTGGCCTCGCTGTTGTCATCTACCAGATAGATGCTGGTTACACCCTACACCCAGCTGCAATGACTGAGTGTTTTGGGAGACATTGGAAACCTACCCTGGTTGTGAACCGACAATTTAAAACATCTCAATTCTCTATAGTCTATAAATGTATTTCTTGATTTTCCAGAGATCCCATAAATACTGGGAATGTTTCCCCACAAAGCAATTGGGCATGTCTTTATTCGCTCTGCCTGAGAAGTGGTTATCTCCTTCCTCGCCCAGAAACAGATGCAATAATATATGCTAACAAATACATTGCATTATTCAACTTGGATATTAAACATCCATTGACAGCAATTCATTAAATGACTATAGCCATATTAAATAGTCAGTGTAGCTATTTTACGTGGCATTATCTTGACATAATAGGCCAGGCCATGGTTTTCTAGACATTTATTTTACTGGAAGTTCCTTCATATTTCATGTTCACCAGAGGAAGGGCATAGCAAGTTCAATTGTAATTCAATGGATTCTAGCATGAAAGCTATGGCTACAACAAATATAGGAAAGCAACAGCGAAGAAAGGAATAAAATACATATCTATACATATAAAATAATTGCATATTCACATGCACAAACATATATTTTACGTTTTTATTTTTTAAAAAGTGACATTTTATGTTATTGATTAAATACAGTAATTATTTTATAATATTGTAGATTTATTTAGTAGTTTATTCTAATTATGTTTGCCATCTCCTTAAATTAAATTTCAAATATATCTATAACAGCTAATTATTTACTATATTTAACAATTTTTTTTGAATGTCATGATAAGTTTTCTTTTGTTGCTGAGAAAAGGGCAAGCCTCCATTTTCCAGCAGAATACTATATCATATGCTATTTACATCAGGCTTTGAGTAATTTAGAAATTGCTATAACTATAAATTTAAATGTGTGTTAATTGTATTCACAACAATAATACAAACATATATTGTTGATATTTAAATTTTTAATTATTATATACAAATTTAACATATTTAAGTTATACTACAGCCAAACCAGTTTGTTCTCTAAAGATAATTATTTTCATATTCATATATCTATTTGCAGATCATGTTGGAGGTGTTTGCATATATAAATATTTATATATAAAATAAGAAATGTTACTTGAGAATTTTATTAAATGTTATATTAAATTACCATTTAATTTGCTTATTAAATATGTGTTCTCAAAATATTTCCATGTTAGGACACTGAAAACTACATAATTTTTTAAAGTGTCTGTAGGATATCATAGAAAACTGATTCTGAGTCCCTATAAGATTGTCAATATTTTCTTGTTGCTTTTAAAAAATAATGAATGAATTGCCATTTCTTATCTCAAGATAATAAACATATATTTTATGCATTTTCAATATTAAATATGTATTTTATGATTTATTTGTTGTAGTGCAATATAGTAATTATCTTAGTTAATATTTTTTTCTAAATTGCTCCAATTATCTCAGCCTAATTTACTGAGAACTCTGTATTTTGCCATTGATTTAGAAAGCTTCCTTTCTCAGATGCTTTATCACTATTTATTTGTGTTTAATTCTGCATCATTTCATCTGTTGTGTTTGATCTTCTTTTATGCTTCAAAGTTATTTTTACAGCTTTCAGTAGAACTTGATATATGCCAGAATAAAATACCCTTTTCCTTATGAAGGGTATTTATTTGTGTGTCTAATTCTGCATAATTTCAACTGTTGTGTTTGATCTGCTTTTATGCTACGAAGTTATTTTTACAGCTTTCAGTAGAACTTGATATATGGCAGAATAAAATACCCTATTTCTTATGACTATTCACAATGTGCTTTAATTTTGCATTGTTGAGTAAATAAACGTAAAAGACTCAACAGCACATGTAAGAGCCATGGAACAGCATTTATAGATAAAATGTCTAGAGAAAGAATAGAAGTGATCTCGTTTCTTTATTCCTCATCATAACATTGGGTTGTTAACAGGGACTTAGCAAAATTGAACCTCATCATTTTGATAAGAGATTTAGGACTATGATACTTAGAATTTTTGTAGTTGAGAGTTTTAAATTACCTCTGCTTCATGGAGAAAAGTTGCCCATAGTCTGTCCATCCCCTTATCATTAAGAATGAAGTGGTGAGTTTCAACGGCCCTTTCTTTGGTCTCATTAGGGACTGGGGTCCAAGTAGGCATACAACTGTGAAATCTGTCAGATTTATGCAACCTTAATGTTCTATGATTTCAGTCCTTTATTCAGTGATAGGAGGTTTTTCTGTCATCCAAGGGTTTCATTTTTCAATTGCTCCTACTCTATATGAGATCAAAGACTCAGAGATGCAAGACATCTTGCAAATAATAAATTTCAGATGTTAACTTTTGTCATGTCTTATATATTAATATAGAATAAGGTGGTAAACTGTTTAAAAGTCTTAAGATTTTTAAATAGTTGACTCTGAGTTTGAAGGTGGGAGAGGAATTGGAGAAGTGGTATCTCCCAAGGGGAGGATTAAAGATTTTTCATTTGTGATAAAAGTTGATATTCCAGCTAATCCAGATCTACTTTTATGGCTTTTATTTAGAAAAAGGAGTATAGAGATAGTGAATATATTTTATCTTCATTTAAATAGAAGACACACAGAGAAAATAAAGAAGCATGGAAAAGACAAGGTGTCATGGACTGTACGTTTGTGTTCCATCAAAAGTCTCATGCTGAAGCCTTCACCCTCAATGTGTTGGTATTTGGACATAGGGCCTATGGGAGGTACTTAAGGTGAGATTAGATAATGAGGATGGAGCCCTCACCATGGCATTAGTGGCTTTACAAGAGAAAAAGGAAAAGGGATTTCTCTCTCTCTCTTTCTGCGTCCATGCTCTTGCAGCAAGGAAAGGCTATGTGAGGACACGGTGAGAAGGCAACCATCTTCATACTAGGAAAAGGGCCTTCACTAGGAAGCTCCAGCAGCGTCAAAAAGAAATGTCTTTTGTTTAAGACAAAAGATGTAAAGTGTGACATCAATAATATAAAAGGGGGTTTGAGATTAAGTAAAAGGGCAGATATTTTGGATGCAATTGAAGTTGTTATAAGCTTAAACTTAAAATGGACTGTTACAATTATAACATGTTTTCATGGTAACCCTAAAAAAAAACTGTAGTAAATTTATAAAATATAATGAGGAATAAATCAAATACCACTACAAAAACAATCAACAAATCACAAAGGAAGACAGCAAGACAGGAAAAAAGGAAGTACAAATCACACAGAAAACAATTAACAAAACGGCAAAAAATGCAAATGTGCCTAACTAGTAGATTAAACAATAGGGATAGCTAGATTGCATTATGACATAAGTTTATAATTTAGCAACATGATCTTATGTGACATCTTTCATAATTGCAAAGGAATATAATTCTAAAGACAAGAAATATACCAAAGGAATACTAAAAGAAGACTGCTTTAGACTATCATTTTGTTACAATAACACACTATAAATAAAAATGTTTTATTAGGGAATAAAGAAGATCCTGGTATAAGGTTACTATTTTATAAATAAGGTATGGTACAATTCACTAGAAAATTATATGTATACATATGTAACTAACCTGCACGTTGTGCACATGTACCCTAAAACTTAAAGTATAATAATAATAAAATAAAAAGAAAATTATATGACTATTAATGTATACACTTAATAACTTAGTCTAAAATATGTAAAAAGCAAAAAAGTCACAAATCACAGCATTACTAGGAAAAAATTTACATCTTAAATCTTACCATACCTCTGAGTAACTATAAATAAAACAGGAAATTATCAAATATGTACGATTTCAATAACACAATTAACAAAGTTGATCTAATACTCCACAATGGGAAAGATCCATGTTTTGAAAAGCACAATACTTCTAAGAAGTGGAGTAGATTCATTTTTCCTATTTTTCCCACTGAGGTTAGATAAAAACCCTGGACATTATATGTAAACATAACAAAATTCTGAAGAATAGAAAGAAGAAAACAGACAGCTAAGGGGCTTTGAGACCAAACATGCTAAAATAGAAAAATCACATGCTTACATCAAATTATACCAAAATAAGAATTGATAAAATTCAGCACCCATTTATGATTTTTTAAGTCTTATAAAGTTAGGAATAGAGAAAGTTTCCTCAACTTAGTAATATTAACATATAATATATAGCAGGTCTAGAGTTTTATTATTTGTTTTCTATTTCTCTTTCTGTGATCCTCCTTTTCTGCCTTCTTGGTATTAATTTATTTTTAAAATAATTTTAATGAAATCTATATGTATGTGTGTGTGTATGTTTTGGGGAGATGGGTGTTTAAGTTACAACTAAGTTAAGTTAAATGGTAATTTCAGGCATTAAATGTATATTCTTATTTATAAAACTTTTATTATTGTTAAGGTTGTAACACAACACAAAACATATATTCATTAGTTTAATTTTACTAAAATGTGTGTATGTGTATAAATTCAATGAAATTTCATAAAATTTTTGATATAAACGGTTATATACAAGATTATGAAATTCAGAAAAGTTGTGTGTGTTTGTATGTGTGTAAAACCATCTTATGTAGCTGAGTTTCAGTCTGGTTTCATTTTTCTTCAGATTGAAAATCATGCTGTAACTGTCCTTATAGTGAAGGTCTTCTGATAAAAAATATATAATATTTTAATTGAGAATGTTTTCATTTCCCCTTCAGTTTTGAAAAATATGTTCACTCATGTAGAACTCTTGATTGACATTTTGCCTTTCTTTACATTTAGCACTTTAAGATGTTGTGTCTGGATGTATAATTTCTGACAAGAAGTCAATAGTGTTTTAGAAATTGTTGTCACTCTATACATAATGGTTTTTACCTCTCCCTATATATTTTGGATGTTATTTTTAGATTTTAAATATGTAATTGAAATATGAAAATGATATTCGGTTTGTGTGTGTGTGTGTGTGTGTGTGTGTGTGTGTTGATCCAGGGTGTTCTAGCTTTTAAACCCATGAATTAATGCATTTAACCAAATTGAATAAAAGGTCAAGTATTATTTTTTCAATATTTTTACTTCATTTTTCTCTCTTCTCCTTCTGCAACTTGAATTTCAAGCATGTTGGACCATCTAAGATTATCCCATGACTCTGTTTAATTTTGTTTTGTATCTGTTTTTTACTCTCTTCGAAATGCATAACTTCTTTTGATTTTCTATAGCTTACTGATTCTTATTTCATCTTCTTTCTGTAGTTAATCTCATAGAGTATTTATTTTTCCATTTCAGCTATTTTATTTTTCTGTTTCTAAAATTTCCTTTTTAGTTATTTTTTATTAATTCTACTTTTATGCTGAGATTTCCTGTATTTTTTTTACTACCTCCACAATTTATTTCACCTCTTTAAGCATAGTCATAATGGACATTTTAAAATCATTGCCCACTGATTCTAAAGATCATATTGGTTGCATTTTCTCTTGAGAACAGATAATTTTCTTTTCCTCTAACATTGAGTAAATTTTATTACATTCTACATATTGTGAGTGATGTGTTAGAAGCACTCTAGATTCTGCTACGTTCATCCAAAGAGTAATGGTTTTTTAATAGGTAGCTAACATTTCAGAAATTAAATTCTGCCTCCCCTATAGTGTGTAGTAGCACTGAAATATGAATTTAGTTCTTGTAGTTGAAATTTGGCCTCTTAGAATACATGCTGGAATCAGCCGGAGATGTAAGCAGTATTCATAGCAAAATTTAGATTCTCCCTGACTAAATCTCTCCATTCTAGAATTCACTCCTTTCCTTCAGTGGTGGTTTTGTTGTGAGCAAGTGGAATTTTAGAAAATATTTTAGTGTTGTAATTGGCCATATATTTGAAATGTGCTATCATAAGAAAAAAGGAAACATGTGTACCTAACACGAGTCTAAAGATAAACTTAGAACAATTAAAACAATCCAGTACCTTGGTCAAACAAAATACATTTGTTAAACCATTTTTTTAAATTCTATCAAAACAATGTACACTTCTAAAACTGATATACAATCTAAGTCCAATTGATATCAATTGTAACCCATCATAAAAACATTTGTTGTTCAAAAAAGTTGTATATGAATGGCTTCATTCAAGAAAAACAAAGATTTCCTCCGTTTTCTGCCTTAGTCATTTTTAGGTAACTAAAGCAAGGAGCTACCTACCATTCTAACATCATCTTCCAGAATTTACTATTTTTGTAGACAGAAATATTTACTTGAATCTTCTCCTGAATCACTTCTTCTGTAGCTTCTCTCTAAAGCCAATTATTCTTATATCCAGCTGTTCAATCATCTTCCACCCACCCTGGCAAGAGATTTCTGCTCTTTTTGAGATCATGGAAAATTGTATGTGGGACTCGCCTTACTTCCTTTTGACCCTCCATTCCTTCATTCCCCTGAACACCGCCATACCTCACTGTAAAGGCATGTTTCAGTTTTTTCAAAGGAGACCATGAGTAGACCCCAGGGCTAATACATTCAATACAGTATAAACAGTTTAGAATATGTAGAATGAAAAACGTTACCTTACTTAGGTATTTTTGTAAACCACAATTAACTTTTGTGTATTTTTTAAAATATATGAAAAACATTACCTTTCATGCGCGTCCGTGTGAAGAGACCACCAAACAGGCTTTGTGTGAGCAATAAAGCTTTTAATCACCTGGGTGCAGGCGGGCTGAGTCCGAAAAGAGAGTCAGCGAAGGGAGATAGGATGGGGCTGTTTTATAGGATTTGGGTAGGTAAAGGAAAAAGGGGGGTTGTTCTCTGGCGGGCAGGAGTGGGGGTCACAAGGTACTCAGTAGGGGAGCTTTTGAGCCAGGATGAGCCAGGAGAAGGAATTTCACAAGACAATGTCATCAGTTAAGGCAGGAACAGGCCATTTTCACTTCTTTTGTGGTGGAATGTCATCAGTTAAGGCAGGAACCGGCCATCTGGATGTGTACGTGCAGGTCACAGGGGATATGATGGCTTAGCTTGGGCTCAGAGGCCTGACATTACCTTACTCGGTTATTTTTGTAAACCACAATTAACTTTTGTGTATTTTTAAGTATATTTTAAAATAACTTGGCAATTATTACATTAAAAGGCATTAGTTCAATCAATTATAAACCCTTTTGACAAATGATGAAACTGAGGTTTAGAGAAATAATGAAAGGCTGAAGATCAATGTAGATTTTCTGTGCAACCACATTCACTTAAATGTAGAAACTGAAAACTTAAATCATTTCTATCAATCCTTTCAGTACAGATTCAATTTCAGAGAACTTACTTTGTAGTTTAGATATCACTACGATAACATCATTTAAAAAAAGATTATAAATTAACTTGAACCATCTGTCCATTTGTAAAAGGATAGCTTTTAAATTCAAAGAAACAAGCCTGTCTTCTTAAATTAAGCTATCTCAAACAAAAAATATGTGCTCACTAGTGCGATTTCTGTAGCGGATCTATGCCAAATATTTTCAGTCCTTCTCTATGTATTTATCACAATTGCACTTGTCAAACTGTTAAAAATTATATTCATGGTAATAAACAAATCACATTTTTTGGTTATTTATTTTTTAATCTAAATTTTGTTTTCACTTTTACATCTCTCAATTCTCAAGAGAGCAGAATGTTATGCTCTCTATCAAATAATTTTAATAGAGTTTTTTTACAGTTATTTATTTGTTATCTATAGATAACATCCAATTTTATTAGGGGATACCTGTTGAGAATTAGACTCATATGCTATTTTATTCCTTATTTTGTTTTTAACCTTATATTTCTAGCTATTTATAAAATAAAAGAAGTATCAGGCAAAATTAAGAAATTATTTTAACAATAAGCAAAATATAATTAACTCTAATTTTAAAACTTCATTTGTGTAAATAAAATAGCAACTAATGTTCTTCTGTAATAATATTTTGTTTAGCCACTATCATCAACACAAGGTTTTTTCTCTAGACAATAAGACTTGCATTTTTGGTGCACATTGAAAGGAATACAATAAGAATAAGTGATGAAGATCTTACTACATATGTATTGATGTTGTGGTAAGCCACTTACGTTTCAATTTAAATCTAAATTATACATTAAAACATAGATATTTAATTTGTATCAACATTATGAAAAATATCAGTAATTACTGAGTGGAGGAAGTAAAATTTTAATATGAAACCATTATTGCTTGAATAGTATACATATTTAGGTTTTTTAAAAATTAAAAAAGGCAAAGAAGCTGAAATATCAAAAAAAGAATTTCCACTTAAAATTTACATGTTAATTTTAAGATAGCACTTGTCTGTCTATATTCGTATTGAGGTTTTCTATGTATATATTCTTATTCACCAGAGACTTTCAGCAATGCATGCAAGCTATCAAGGCTCATAAATTTAACATCATAATTAAAAACAATAAAATGGAACAAAGAAAATAGAAATGATCCGATTCTATTGATCAGTTTACAGTTAGAGCTTTTTTGTGAAACTTTTTTTTAAGGTGGATGTAATAGATAATTCACAGGAAGGGAATGAAACACAATAAAGATGTATATTAGTACAGAGTACACATTAAGATATTATACATATATATTTATGTACTTATGTGTACATATTTGTGTATATCTTTCTGTGTATATATATAATAACATTTTGAATATATACTGTACTACTCAACATATTTACATTTTGCATATTTAAATTCATTCCTGAGATTTATGTATGTTTTTGGAAACACTTGGCATAGCTAATGTTAACGTGATAAATAAATCATATGTATGTTTATATGCCATTCTTCATTGAACTCCAGGTGAATGCTACCTTATATTTTTAAACATTTTTTATATAGTGATTTGGAGCTTGTGGCAAAGCCATCTAGGGATATTAGAGAGGGTTCCTCAGCACCCAGCACTTAATTGGAACAGCATGTATTTTTAAAAAGGAAAACTCTCCCCATTTCCCAGTTTGCATGCTAAAACTGTTCCCCTAGGCATGCTTCAGTTCCTCTCTGTTTCCTTACTTTAAATATGCATGGAGAAGTAAAGTGACAGTTGTTTTGCAAATTTGGGATTGAGTCACTGGGCATGTTCAACTCTGTTTGCTTTTGCTCCTCTTAAACCTTAACTGCTTTCAACTCTAGGCTTTTCCTACGCAAGGAGGCCTATTTGAAGCAGCGCTGTTTGAGCATGAAGTGTGCAAGGATAGCATTTCTAATTCTGGGATAATACTCCTGCCGAGCCCAGCTTGGTCGTGGAGACCCTAACCCAGCAGCGCTAGAGGAATTAAGACAAAGACACAGGAATAGAGTATAAAGGGGGAATCAGGTGGCTGACAGCCTTCAGAGCTGAGAGCCACGAACAGTCTGACCCACACATTTATTGACAGAAAGCCAGTGATAAGCATAGTTTCTATAGATTATAGATTAGCTAAAAGCATTCCTTATGGGAAACAAAGCATTCTTAGCAAGGAGCAGAGAAACAGGCCCTGGCTGATTTTCTGCAGC
Organism: Homo sapiens; assembly: GCF_000001405.40. Classification (NCBI taxonomy): domain Eukaryota; kingdom Metazoa; phylum Chordata; class Mammalia; order Primates; family Hominidae; genus Homo; species Homo sapiens. The sequence continues at coordinate 25,448,710 of NC_000005.10, forward strand.
AAAAGCATGTTGTTAGGGCACAGGCTGCTCCTGCTACTGTTTGTAGTTTGAGTAGTTTTCCGCTCCAGGCGGACCAGGTTTTCCTAGCCCTGCTCCAGTAAACCAACAACTTCTAGCAGTGTGCGTGATCGCCATCACGAGCGTGTCACATTGCTGCAGAAATCCTGTTTATGGACAGTTTCTTTAAGGCTTATGACAGGGTTAGGGCTTGCTACCAGCAACTCTACTTCTCTTTCTCAGCAATAAGAGTGATTCTGGGGCCGGGCGCGGTGGCTCATGCCTGTAATTCCACCACTTTGGGAGGCCAAGGCAGGCGGATCACAAGGTCAGGAGTTCAAGACCAGCGTGACCAACATGCTGAAACCCCGTCTGTACTAAAAACAAAAACAATTAGCCGGGCGTGGTGGCGCGTGCCTGTAATCCCAGCTACTCAGGAGGCTGAGGCAGGAGAATTGCTTGAACCTGAGAAGCGGAGGTTGCAGTGAGCACATATAGAGCCACTGCACTCCAGCCTGGGTGACAGAAGGAGACCCCGTCTCAAAACAAAAAAAGGGGGGATTTTGGTTCATCAATAGACATGCCCTTATTTTATTTCTTAAAGTCTTCAGAATCCTGGTGAGGAAGAGGCGAACATTTTATTGGGTATCAAACATATGGTGGAGACTCCAGACATGTGGCAGTTTCTATACAGGTAGCGCAGGGTGGAAGTACAGTGTCTCTGACAGGCGTCAGAGAAAGAGCACAAATGTCTGAGAATTCATGGGCTAGAGGCCTAATGAGCATTTTCAGCTAAGGCAAGAATTAAAGAGAGAGGGTAGCAGGTACCACAGGAAGTCTCACAGCTACAAACTGCAGGACTAGTAGGTTCAGAGGCAAACTTGGATATGGGGGAAATAATCTTTATAAGGCTTTTAAGCATTGCATAGTTTGCCAAAAAAAGCATGTGATGCCTTTAAACTGGAAGACACTGAATTCCCATGAGCTACAAAATATTGGAGAGTTTCTACCTTTACATGATCAGTGCCACATTAAATAGGCAGCATTAACCCACCGTTCTATGTTCTATTCTATATTCAAGACTGGGGAAGGAGGCCTGGAAGGGCTATGCTTTGATCTACTCTTGTCCACAAACTCACAGAATGGCATTTTGATGTTTGTTATTTGTGCTTTCATTCAACTTTGGAATTTTACAAATTAAACTTCTAGTATTCAAAAAAAAAAAACTTTAAAAAATTGAACTTATCTAAACTTTAATATCTTTGAACTTTAAATTTCAAGAGGGAGTATTTTTGAGACCTTGGCGCACCTCCAAATTTTATTTTAATGCTATTATTTATTCTCATAGAAGAAGTCCATGCATTATTTTCAACATAGTGGTTAAGCATAATTTAGAAAAGGGAGTAGAATAAGGTGTGAAAATTCAGCCTTGGATACAGACTGTCCTTGAGTTTGATTTCCAAATGAACTATTCTGATCCACGTAGGATCTTTCCAGGTAAACCTTCTGAACAGAAATTGGACAGTGTACTTAAAGGTGTCAGTGTCATAGTTTGAATTGAAGAAATGACTTCATAAAGTTGGGGTGAATACTGTCCTAGTAAATTGCTCAACACCTCCTCTGGTTGACTACAAGTGTTAAAGTTTAGCCCAGTGACTGAAGAGAAGGAAAATATTTTAACAGCATGTTACAAGGGAACCAATTTTCCCACTTATAGTTTCAGTTCAAGCTTCAATCAGCCTTTCTTTCCATGCTTAGAGCACTCTAATTTTTTTCAGCTACTCTCAGAACAGATTCAAGGTTTTGGGTTATTATGAACCTTGTCTTTTAACTAGATCTTTTTGACTCCCTCTTAGCTCTCACTCTCAAGTTCCTTTGATCTAATCTAGTCTCATCCCAGCATCTCTTTCCATATTGCCTCAAATAAATCTTTATAGAATGAAGCTACTCATTAAACCAGTTTATAAAATGGCAATACATATACAGAAATAGGGCAAAAAATAAAATACATAACAAAAGCAATCTGTTAAGATAAGCAATATGCAAAAAACTCAGTGTTGAATACGTTATTAATTTTCAGCAGTTATACAGATTTTTCTGGTATAACTTTTTATTCAAAAACTTTACTTCTTTGTTTTACTTACAATTTTAATATTAAAAAAAATCTAAGAGTGATTCTAGGTTTGATGGAATAGAGCTGTGGTTAAGACATGCTAGGTCCCAGCTCTCAGAGTATATTTTAATGGGAGGGAGAAGAAACAAATTTAAAATGACAACTAATAAATAATTTCCAATACAAATATTGCCTAAATATATACTAAAATAATTTTCATACGATTTCAAGTACTATAAAAGAGGGCGGGGAATTTTTGCCTTTGAGAGGAGATCTGGATATAAGCGATCATGCAAAGCTCTGTGGGAAGAGATACTTTGGCAGAATAAAAGCATTCTCCAGGATTCTGTGACTGAAAGAAGCGTGCTGTGTTCAAGAATCAGGAAATAGGCCTGTGATGCTGAATGTTAGTGAAGAAGGAGGGAGCACTGTGAAATTTAATTAGAGAGGTAGAGTACCACACAAAATTTATGATACAAAAGCAGAAATTGTCTCTGACCAAATTATGCAGACAGTGAATGTAATGGAAAGATATTGGAATTGCAGAGAATTGACAAGAAAAATTCAGGCTACAGCTTCCAACACAGCCATTAATGTGCTACTTCGTCAGCCTGAGAAGGAGGTCACAACTGGCTTCATTGTGTCTACATCTGCGTCACCACTGCCTGGACTCTGCCTTCTCACATCACTCTTTCAAAGCTCAAAGAAACAAGTCTGAATGCTCAACTTGATCCTGTCATAATATAGTTGCCAGGAAGAAAAGGAAAGCAAATGTCTGTGTCTCCCCTACAGTTTTCCATAGACACAGGTGGGGGCCTATTGTACAGCAATCAATGCACCATGAGAATATCACCCCAAGTGGGAAGGAATTCATGATGCTGGGTGAGCCAAAATATAAAATGTCCATTACGTGGCCCTTTTATTGGCTGCTCTACATCCACATCTACACCTCTACATTAAACTTTAGGAAAAAAAATGCTTCTACTTAACTACTGTAGCCCTTTTTTCCTTCTATTGTTCTCCAGATATCAGTAATCTCCAGTATGTGTAAGCCCTAATTATTCCTATTTCTTTTTTCTAGCATATTCTTAATTTTGTTAATTTTAATACTAAATTGTAGATATATACAAACATGTAGCTAATTATACACACACACATACACACACACACACACACACATATATGTAAATTTTTAGGCATCACATTTTTACTGAAGATCTTAAAATGAAAAACAAGCCTCTTGTTGCAATTTTTCTCGGACTTGGTTTTGTTTCACAGAGGGAATCACTTATAACTGTTTCTCTTTTTTATTCTAATCTAAAGAAACTGAAAAAATCCCTAAATAACACTATTAAGATATGATCTCCAGTATGTGTAAGCCCTAATTATTCCTACTTCTTTTTTTCTAGCATGTTCTTTATTTTGTTAATTTTAATACTAAATTGTATATATATAAGCACATAGCTAATTATATACACACAAAAAAATTAGTCATCACATTTTTATTGAAGATATTTAAATGAAAAACAAGCCTCTTGTGGCAATTTTCTTCTTACCTGGTTTTGTTTCATGGAGGGAATCACTTATTACTGCTGCTGTTTTTGATTCTAATCTAAACAATCTGAAAAAAATCCCTAAATAACATACATAAAGGTATGTTATCCTATGACAGTTATCCTAGAATGATAATGGTTTCAACAAAATAAAACTTTGTTGTTCTTTAAAATTAAAATCTAGCTGGGGAAGTGCAGTATGTGATAAGATATTCCATGTATTAGGGATGAAGTTTTTAATCTAGTGTCCTCGATAAGTATGACCTCAATATCATACACACAGAAGATAGGTACTATCACCTATTTTCTAGGTATTAAGATGGAGAGGCAGACTTTATTTTGGGCAGTCATATGCCTAACTAAACCATTATAATTAGGATACAGCCAGTGGTCTGCAAAAGTCTTTCTCTTTAGCCATCTAATGTGTTTACCTTTCCATTCACAAGCACAGTGCTCTTGCCACCATCCTCCAAGGGAGAAAACTGGAAAAGTTCATTCAGCTCATGAATCCACCCCAAATCCAGGACCTCTGAGTGATTTCCAATACGGTTCAAAGTTCTAAATGTGGCATCTCATGGCCATGTAACCTAAAAACTAAAGATGCAAAATATCTGTTATTACTATTACTAAATCATTCTGATAGAGATATTCTTTACAAATTCATCACAATGCAGTCAGCAGTGTGCTCTTTATCTTTATTAAAGCAAATATTTCATTAACTCAGAGAGATGTCATATTCTCATTTTAAAGACTAAAAACTGAGGCATAGAGAAATGAAATAATTTTCTGAGGAACTCACATCTAGCTAATACAGAATTATCATTTAGAATCAAGTTTTAAATTTCTACTCTTTCTTATCTCGGTGTCACACTTACTCCATGAGCAGCCATCACCCTATTGGTCAAAATGCCTGAATTTCTCTTACACATAAGATATCTACAAGATCTTCTACTAAACTATACATTGTCAGAGAGCAGCATCTTATTAATCTGAATATCTCTTACCCGACAAAATACCTGAAATATAGTAGTTGCTGAATTGATGTTTACTAAAGAAATTAATTATTAAATTTGGTGCCTAAACATATTAAATGTTTATTTCAAGTACTTTGAAACAAAAGAAACTTTTATAAAAAATCATATAATCCTGGACCAAACATCCAAAATTCAATATGTGTACTGCAGTAGAAACATGATGAATACTGTAAAAGTCACACTTGGAGAAGGGAGTAGAGTGGGGAATTAATGCAGAAACAGTTACTAATAACAATTATGAAACCTCTACCCTAGAACTTGAGTTCCTTGGTCAGACCTAGACTGGTCTGGTTATGCTGCCTTGAAAATAGATATTTATAGATATAGTGGTTTAGTCTGAATTTCTGATCTTTTACTGACTCATTTCTGTGCTTCTCTCATTTTGAGCTCTTGACATCATATAAAGCTAGCCACCTTGGAGTAATCTGTATTAGTTTTCTATTGCTGTTGTAACAAATCACCACAAAATTATTGGCTTGAAACAACACACATTTATTATCTCACAGTTCTAGAAGTCATAAATATGGGTTGTCTCTGTTGAATGTTCTATTTCGAGTTTCACATATTAGACATTGAGGAGTTGGTTTGCTAGAATCTTTTCATGAGACCCTGGGATGAATCTGCGCCTAAGCTCGTTAAAGTTGTTGGAGGAGTCTATTCCCTTGGGGTCATGGAAATAAGATTCTTTATTCTTTGCTAGATGTCAGCTGGTGCTGCTCCTTATATCTGAAAACAGATTTACAACTTGTACAAGGACAGTGTTATAATTGGTTAAATTTGAGGGAAAAAACATTTTGCTTTTCTACTCTCCAAAGCTCCAAAGTGGAGTGAACCCAGTGAGTGAATATTATGTCTCTATTCATAGATGGAGGCTCTACTTTCAACTCCTCTCTTTCATATATGCTTTCTAAGAAGAAATTGTTAATACACAACCATCCTCCACTTGTCTCTATAGGTTTTCCTAATGCTTGGGCCTCAGTTGCAATATAGGCTGATTTGTGTGGTATTACAGATGACAGTCTCACTGGGTATGTTATCACTGCATTAAAGGGATAAATACATCATAGCTTTCCAACTGAAAAATCCGTCTTCTTACCACCTCCTAAGGCAATGCCACTGTTTAATCATTAGCATTGGCAGGACTCTACTTCCAGGAAAGAAATGTTGTATTAATAAATATCAGGGTTATATAAAAATGATAGACAAATGTAAAAATGGCATTTATACATGTAGACGATGTGGACAATGTATATATTTGTTCCCCTTCCTCTCACAGGTGAATTTGGTGGAGGCAGTATAGAGCTAGTGGCCAGTTCCTGTTGTTAGATGCCAAGGTGCTAGGTCCTTTCATCTGTGCTCTTCCTTCTGTAGCCTCAGTCTCGTAGTTTAAGATGTCAGCTTTCCTTTTCAAGGAGGCACGCAAAGGAAACCGTTATGCAGAAAGACAGCAAAAGACACAGTTTTGCTCTCTCTTAAGGAAGCTTCCTGAAGCTGTGATACAATATTTATACTTACAGATCATTGGTCAGAAAACACACATATGCCCATATCTTAAAAAAAGAAAAGATAGGTGAAAATTAGGGATTTTAATATGGGCTTCCTTGAAGTTAAAAATAAAGCTGAAAATTCAGAATTTACATGAGTGACCCAGGCCTAAAACCTCTTTTATCCAAAGCCTGAAAAGTCCTTAAATTCCCTTCCCTCATTGGAAAAAACCAGAGTAGGCAGGCAGAGAAATCAACAGGAGGGACTGAGTCAAGGTAAGTCAGCAGGTGCAGAAACCCATCTTCTATCCAGAAGCACTGCAATGGGTGAACAGAAATGAAAAGAGAAAAGCAGCTACAATAAACAGTCTGGCCCAGAAAGCCGCTTCGAACATTTGGATTGAAAATTCCTGTCCTGAGAAATAGGACTCACAAGGAGCACCTGTGGGGAATATTGAGCGAACGTGCCCCCACAGAGAGCAACCCAGAAGCCAGGCCTGGAGAAATCTCTTCTGCCCCTTAGAGAAGGCCAACAGAGGTCAGAGAGTGGCCCAGCAGCACTGCACAGGAAAGGCTCTGAGAATTAAACTGCCATTTGAACCACAGCTCATGAAAGTAGGACAAGGCCTGCATGAATCTCAACAAAGTGACTGGCTGTTAAAATTAAAGATTTAAATAGGAATTAGACTTGTCATGTATAACAGACAAAATATCGAGGATACAATCTATGATCAGTCATTATAAAAAGAACCAAGAGAATCACAACTGGAGTGAACAATAGACAATGTTACTGATGCTACCACTGAGATTAATCAGATGTTGAAATTCTCTGACAAGGATTTTAAAGCAGCCATCAAAAAATGATTAAAGAAACAGTAAAAAAAAAACTCTTGAAACAAATAAAAAATAGATTAGCCCAGCAAAGAAACAGGAGTTATAGAAAAGAACAAATTGAAAGTTATAGAACTGAAAAATACATTAAGAGAAATATAGCAACTCACTGGATGTGCTCAATAGTGGAGCGGAGATGGCAGAGGATAGAAACAGTGAACTTGAAGACAGATCAATACCATTCACCCAGTCTGACCAACAGACTGAGGAAATAGGCTGAAAACAATTGAACAGAGCCCCAGGAAATCTGTGAAATAATACCAAATATCCAACGTTTGCATTAGAGCCCAAAATGAGAAAAGAGGGAAAAAAAGAGTTGGGCTGAAAGAGTATTTGCAGAAATAATGTCGGAAAACTTCCCAAATTTGGTGAAAGACAGAAATAACTAAGAAATTGAGAGAATACTAATTGAGATAAACCCAAAGATATTCATGCCATGAAAAATACTGTGTTGAAAGCTGAACAAATTGCATCGTATTTAATGGTGAAAGACTGAATTTTTCCAAAGTAAGGAATATCCACTCATCACTGTTACTCAACAATAATTGAAGTTCTAGATGTTGCTATTATACAAGAAAAGTAAGAAAGGCATGCAGATTGAAAAGGAAGACATAAAACTGTCTATTTGCAGATGATACGACTACACAGAAAATTTCAAGGAATGTGAAAACCAAAAAAGGATACAAGATCAAACACAAAAATCAATCTCATTTCTGTGCACTAACATGAACACAGAAAAAGCAAAAACTAAAAACTGAAAAAAAAAATTTGCAATCTCTAAAAAAAGTAAAGAAAAAAAAGAAATACTTAAGTAGACACTTAATAAGACATGAACAGCTTCTATATGCTGAAAACTGCCAAATACCATTGAAAGAAATGAAAGACCTAAATTATTGAAGAGACACACTCTTTTCATAGATTGGAAGACTTAACATGGTAAAGATGTTGATTCTTTTTAAACTGACCTGTAGGTTAAATGCAATTCCTATCAGCATCTCGGTGGGACATACAAGATATACAAGATCCATGTAAAGTTTATAAAGAAAGGCAAAGGAATTAGAATAGTTACCATGATTTTGAAGAGAAAAGTTTGAAGAATCACTCTATCAAACAATAAGACTTAGTATGTAGCATCAATATTCAAGATTGTGAGTTATTAAAGAAGGGATAGACACACAGGTTAAATTAACAGAGCCGACAACACAGAAAGAGACCTGAAAACATATGCTCTATTTATTGTGACAAAAGTACAAAAACAATTCAGTAAAGAAAGGCTAGCTTTTCAAGAAGTGATAAAGCAATTAGAAATGCATATGACAAAAAACCAAATCCAAGACAAAAACTCTATACAAAAACAACCTCATAATTTTTACTAAAATTAAGTCAAATAGATCATGAACTAAAATAAAACATAAACTCTAAATGTCTTAGCAAAAAACATGAAACTTTTTCAAGATGCAAGGCTAGGCAAAAAAGTTTTAGATTTGATGCCAACAGTATGGATATTAATATGAAAAGCCGATAAAGTAAATTTCATTAATATTAAAAACTTTCTCTCGAAAAGTCTCTGCTAAGAAGATTGAAAGACAATCAAAAGACTGAGATAAATATTTGGAAAAGATCTACCTGACAAAGTACTAGAATCAAAAATATTTTTTTAAAAATCAGAACTCAACAGAAAAAAATAAAATGAAAAATGAAACAAATTAGAAAATGGGCAAAATAGCACTGGAGAGCATATACAGGTGGAAAATATGCACATTAAATGATGTTCAACACCATTAGCATTAGAAATATGCAAATAAAAGTCACAATGTGTTATCACTACATACTTGTTAAAAGGCTAAAATAAAAAATAGTAACACCACCAAAAATTAGAGAGAATATGACAGAAAATATAAAATAAGGCAGATACTTTGGAAAATAGTTCAGCAGTTTCTTATTTAAAAAAAATCACCTAAACACTGAATTACTATATTACTCAGAAATTATACATTTTAACATTTATCACAAAGAAATATAAATTTCTCTTCACACAAAAACCTATACACAAGTGTTGATAGCAACTTTATTTGAAATCATCAAAAACTAGAATCAGTTCTATTGTCCTTTAGCATTAAGAAGGAAGGAACTATTAATGCATGCAATAGCTTGAATGAATCTCCAGGGAATTAACTGAGTAAAAAAGACAATGTCTCAACGTTACACATTATATGATTCCACTTGTATGTAATATTTGAATTGACAAATATTAGAAGTGGAGGACAAATTAATGTTTGACAAGGGTTAATAATTGGGGCTGGGTGCCAAAGGGATGTGTGTCATCACACAATGGGAACATGAGGACTCTTGTGCTCATGGAGCTGTTCAGCATCTTGATTTTGGTGATGGACACATTAACTTATAAATTTGATAACATTGTATGGAACAAAATACACAAGTATGCACACACACAGACACACACACCACACACACACACACGAGTGAAAGTAAAACTGGGGAAATCTCCATATGATGGTGATTTGTGTTAATGTCGACACAGTAGTCCCCTCTTATTTTGGGAGGTTGTGTTCCAAAACCTCCAGTGGATACCTGAAACCACAGATAGTACCAAACCTGATTTCTGTTAATTAAAACACATTTTTGTTCATGTCTTCCACCCACACATTTAATGCATTTTCTATCTTAACTAAGCACATATCACACACTGTGGGCTTAACTATTGCAGTCTGAGGTGCAACAACAAAACTAGCATAAATTTCTTTTATCCTTCTTCACAATTTCATGCATAAAAGACTAGTTCTTACTGGAGATCTTAGTAACCTCACATATGATTTTTTTTAATTTCCATATTAAGTTGAGAACTTTCTCCTTTTCACTTCAAGGGAGCACTTTATGGCTTCTTTTTGGTATATCCGAATTGCCAGTGACACCACTCTTCTATTTTGGGGCCATTATGAAGTAAAATAAGGGTGACTTGAAATCAAGTACTGAGATACCACATCAAACAGTGCATCTGATAACTGAGTCACTCCTAAGTGACTAATTAGCGGGCAATGTAGAGAGCTTGGATGCACTGGACACCAAGGGAGGGTTCTTGTCCCTGGCAAGTTAGAGGGGGACTGCATAAGATTTCATCACACTACCCAGAATGACCTTCAATTTAGCTTACAAATTGTTTATTTCTGGAATTTTCCATTTAATATTTTCAGACCACAGTTTAACATAGGTAACTGAAATCCCAGAAAACAAAACTGTGGATAAATACAAAATGATATTTTGGTTGTGATATTATAAAATAGTATTGCAAAAATTGTACCATCAGAGGAAACTAGATAAATATATATTGAATCTCTCTGTTTTACTTCTCTCAACTGCATGTAAATTTACAGTGATTTAATACAATTTTCAGTCAAGAAACAAATAAGAATAAAAACAAAAATATTAATATGTTGAATACTATTAGATAATTTACCACTGTTTCTTTACACACACACACACGCAAGAAATGTAGATGACTTTGTTAAGGTTTTATTATTATGACACATAATATA